>NC_000001.11:52281107-52432622 GCF_000001405.40 Homo sapiens
TCAATCATTTTTCTTTTCTTTTCTTTTCTTTTTTTTTTTTTTTGAGACGGAGTCTCACTCTTTCGCCTAGGCTGGAGTGCAGTGGCTCGATCTCGGCTCACTGCAAGCTCCACCTCCCGGGTTCACGCCATTCTCCTGCCTCAGCCTCCCGAGTAGCTGGGACTACAGGCGCCCGCCACTGCACCCAGCTAATTTTTTTGTATTTTTAGTAGAGACGGGGTTTCACCGTGTTAGCCAGGATGGTCTTGATCTCCTGACCTCATGATCCACCCGCCTCGGCCTCCCAAAGTGCTGGGATTACAGGCGTGAGCCACCTCGGCCGTCCTCAATCATTTTTCCAAGTGTTTAGAAAAGAGCCAGAGGCATTGGCATGTTTTATTTTCTACAATAGGTTTTTGGCTCAATGCAGTGACAGTTCACAGTTGAATTATACAGACTCAGTGTGATCTATTTTAATCTTTGCTGTATTGTAACACAGATTTCTGTGCATCTTTTTTTAAGAGTAAGGATTGATAGGAATGTCTTTATTTTTGTGTTTTTATTCCATCTGTAGATGTGAACAGGAAGTGCTGGTGTTTCACAACCAAGGGAATGCATGCAGTGGGTCAGTCTGAGATAGTCATTCTTCTACAGTGTTTACCGGATGAAAAGTGTTTGCCAAAGGATATCTTTAATCACTTTGTGCAGCTTTATCGGGATGCTCTGGCAGGTAGGAATGCTTTATGACTTAGTCTGCTCCCTTTGTAGATGACAAAAAAATTTTGAATTCAAATACAAAATAATAGTCTTAACTTTGGACTTAAGCATGGCAGGGGACTTTGATATTAGTGGCAAGTTGAAGCTTTCCATGGTTTGAAGAAATTATAAATTTTAGTATTGTACCTGGTATAGTTTTTATTTTACAGAGGCTGGAATCAAAGCTGTAAGAGAATCTGGTGACCTAAATGTAAGAATATTTTCTTTTTAGTGGCCTGGGGTCAGGATATTGGTACCTGGTAGAAGGAAGCATATTTGTAACTTACTTCTTGTTTCTTTGGTTAACAATATTTATTTAATCATAGTGTAAATGCTAATGAATATTCAAATTTCAAAAACAATTAGCATACATGACTATGGCTTCAAAATAAATTGTAAATATTAACTGTAACAACTTAAAAGTAAAAGCATAGAGGTTAGAAGCTGGGAAAGACTAAGGATATTAACATAAAAAGAAACTAAGATTGAGAGAAAAGAAACACATTATTTGACATTATAGTTATTTATTATGACATTGTGTTATTTGACATTACAAAGTCAGCCTCCCTTTGATTTAACAAATGAGGTAGAAAAACGGTGTAATTGAACTATTCTCGTTTATTGTAACAGGAAGTCAGTACATAATATCTGTATTTGATAAATAGGGTTTATCTTTGAGGAAGAAGGCCTGGAGAGGGTGTGAGGGTGACCGGGGTATTAAAACTATTTTCATGTATTATTTGATAATATTTCATACATATATTAAAACAATAAATTATTCAGACTTTCTTAATGCAATAATTTTCATTGTGGGATTCTGTGCCAAAGACAGTATCCAGAATATAAAATGCACTTCTGTGAATGAAAGGGTTTATTGCAACATTACCTAAATTTAACACAAAAATTCAGAAGCAACCTGAATGCCTTAGCTATAGGTGGAAAGTTTAACTGTGTTATACTTATTAGATGTGAGGATCTTTTTGAGAACTTTTTTTGGCCATTAAAACAATATTTATGAAAAGAATGTAGTAACATGGAAAATGCTCTTTAAATAATTACAGAAGCAGGATATATAATTGTATTTTTAATGTGATGTAGATTATGCGTAAAAGATTGTGCCTTTATGTCTTCATTAGTCTCTACAATAATTTAGGTGTAGCATTACATAAGGGCAAGGTGATACATTGGAAACTGACCACATGATACCTGTGAAGTACCTTTTAATGTTTACCCTGTCTGTTCCAAAATGTATAGGGTTAAATCTGAAATCATCCAGGTCCTCCAGGCCACATAATACCCTGGAGCTGAATTTAGTCCTGGAAATAACTGGGAACTTTCACTTTTCTCCTCAATCTGAATGTATTCACTTTTAAACACTCTAGAAAAATGGCATTGGAGGTTCAAGTAATTGTAGATTCATGTGGGTTTTGAGAGTGTGTTAGAGACTAGGGTATGGGAGGTTCATGAATGTCTTATTTAGGAGCCCATGCTTTATTCTGTAGGCAATGAAGAACCATTGAAAGTATTTGAGATGATGAGTGACATAATCAGATTTGCATTTTAGAAAGATGACTCTGGAAGCAGTGTGAAAAATGGATCAAAGTCCGTGAGTCTGGTGGCAGTTAAGAAGCAATTTCAGGATAAGCAAATGTATATTCATACACTAGAATACTGCTCAACAGTAAAAATGAACTAACTGCTGATGTACACAACAACATGCATGAATCTCACAGACATTATGCTGAGCAAAAGCCAGGCACAAAAAAGTACATATTGGATGATTCCATTTATATGGTTTTCTAAAACAGGCAAAATTAATCTTTGGTGATAGAAATTAGGTCAGTGTTTGCCTAAAGTGAGGTGGGGGTGCAGGTGCTAGAACTGACTACAGAGAGTCCCAGAAAACTTTCTGAGATGAGAGGTCTATATCTGGATTAGGATAGTGGTTATGTGGGTGTTTGCCAAAACTCATTGAAATGTACACTTAAAATCTATCATTTTTATAATATATAGATTATACCTCAGTAAAATTTATTTTTTAAAAAGATATTGCAGGAATCCAGCAAGAAATTAAGAAATTATCAGGATTTAAATTAAATAATTGCAGTGGAAATAAAGAAGAGTATTGGAGAGATACGAAAGATGTGGTGCTTCAATTCAGTAGGATTTGGTAACTAACTGGATATAGGGGGTTAGAGGGGACAAGTCAAGGTTGGCCTCAGATTCCTCGCTTGAGCACCTAAGTGTATGTTGGTCTTCTTCTATTCACCATCTTGATGAATAACAGATTTGGCAGAGGTAAGGGAATTCTTTGTTCAGTGTGCTGAATTTGAAATAATGACATCAGATGAAACATGAAAATGGCAGATGATTATATGGGTATGGATCCCAGAAGATAGATCTGAGTTAAAATACAGATTTTGGAGACACAGCTTTCCTGTGATAGTTGAGAGTATCGTTGTGAATGGGATAGGCCTGTGTGAAGAGACTACGGCTGTAGATGGAATCCTGAGAGATAGACATCCTCTCAAGGAGAGGATGTGAATTATTGCATGAATTATTAAAATATGTTTAGCATAAATTTTTTTTTTTTTTGAGATGGAGTCTCGCTCTGTCACCCAGCCTGGAGTGCAGTGGCGCTATCTCAGCTCACTGCAAGCTCCACCTCCCAGGTTCACGCCATTCTCCTGCCCCAGCCTCCCAAGTAGCTGGGACTACAGGCGCCCGCCACCACGCCTGGCTAATTTTTTGTATTTTTAGTAGAGACGGGGTTTCACCGTGTTAGCCAGGCTGATCTTGATTTCCTGACTTCGTGATCCGCCCGCCTCGGCCTCCGAAAGTGCTGGGATTACAGGCGTGAGCCACCGCGCCCAGCAATGGTTATTTTTTTAAAAAGGATACTTATATGTCAGTTCAGTCCATTTTGAACTATTGCAAAAATTTTGAAACAACAAAAATACTTGGAACTGATTACAAGATACTAATGATAGTCTAAGGTCAGACTATAATACATCTAAGCCAACTAAAAATATTTTCTATAATGTAGGATAGGGACACGAACATATATATGTATATCTAAGGAAATAACATTTCAAAAGCATAAGTGAGACGAAAGAGTTTTTCCTTGAATAGGAATCATTTCACAACTCATCAAATATTGGGACTAGAAGGCATTTTAGATAATTTAATACAAACTCTTCATTTTTTAGATAAGGAAAATCAGACCTAGAAGTGTTAATGGCGTACCTAAATCACAGACCAAGTTGGTGGCAGAATTGGGACTGTAGCTCCCAGATCAGTATTGTTTACATTATGTCAGTTGCCTCTGTGTACCATTAATAATATATCAGTTCTTAAAAACACAGATATATTATCTATATACTATACATATTTATTAAGAACCTTATTTTTAGATAATCAGGGTAATAGCTTGATATATTTCACTATAAATTTTTTAATAAGTAAAAGCATATTTTGGGTGTTCTAAAACGGGGTCCCCAACCCACAGGCCATGGACTGGTATTGGTCCGTGGCCTGTTAGGAACCAGGCCACACAGCAGAGGTGAGGGGCAGGCAAGCAAGTAAAGCTTCATCTGTATTTACAGCTGCTCCCCATTGCTCACGTTAGCGCCTGAGCTCTGCCTCCTCTCAGATCAGCAGCGGTATTAGATTCTCATAGAAGTGCGAACCCTGTTGTGAACTGCGCGTGTGAGGGATCTAGGTTGTGTGCTCCTTATGAGAATCTAATGCCTGATAATCTGTCACTGTCTCCCATCACCCCCAGATGGGACAGTCTAGTTGCAGGAAAACAAGCTCAGGGATCCCACTGATTCTACATTATGGTGAGTTGTATAATTATTTCATGACATATTACAATGTAATAATAGAAATAAGGTGCACAATAAATTTAATGCGCTTGAATCATCCTGAAACCGTCTCCCCTTCCCCACAGTCCGTGGAAAAATTGTCTTCCACAAAACCCATCCCTGGTGCCAAAAAGGTTGGAGGCTACTGTTCTAAAATGATAGCAGGCTGGGCACGGTGGCTCATGCCTGTAATCCCAGCACTTTGGCAGGCCAAGCCGGGTGGATCACCTTAGCTCAGGAGTTCAAGACCATCCTGGCCAACATGGTGAAACCCCATCTCTACTAAAAATACAAAAAATTAGCCGGGTGTGATGGTGGGCGCCTGTCATCCCAGCTACTTGGGAGGCTGAGGCAGGAGAATTGCTTGAACCCTGGAGGCAGAGGTTGCAGTGAGCCAAGATCGTGCCATTGCACTCCAGCTTGGGCAACAAGAATGAGACTCTGTCTCAAAAAAAAAAAAAAACGTATCGCAATTTATTATTTTTCTCTTCTGTGTAGCACATTGAGTGAAATTGACAAATTGTATCTTAAATTTCTCCTGAGTGTGAAACCTTGAATACTGTATTACTAGCTTAGGGTTATTCTGCCCTAAATCACAGAAAAGCCTTAGGAGCTATTGAATGAACTTTTTTATAACTTCCTGTGAATTTTAAAATCTAAACTACAGGTATTTAATAACCATATGTGTGTTGTATATCTATATATGTGTGTGTATCTGTGTTTCACATATATATACACACACACTTTTTTGTCATACACAGTTTTTGCATTCTGCAGTGGAGGGAAACATTATAATTTGTGAGAAATTATGTTCTGAGAGTTTCAGAATGCCTTCTGGTTATGACAGTGCCATCGGAGGTTGTAGACTATATATTGTTTCTCCCTGTCTCCTATTCATTCCTCCATATTTTGTACCTGTTTTTTTGCAAACAATCTATTCAGAACATAGACTTGAATGAAATTGGACTTGTATCTACCAGATTGTTATTTCTGGAGTTAATCTCTGGTTGTTTCCCTATCTTACTCAAAAGCTACTTTGGCTTTGTATTGCCTTTAGAATAAACTGTGCTCCAACATTCAGTATTCTGCATGATCTGTTCCTATATTTTTAGTCTCATCTCCTGCTAGTCATCTCTCCATACTTCCATTGTAGCCAAACAAAACATTTATTGGTTCATTTTGTGTATATTCTGATGATTTTCCATTTCATTACCCATGATTATGCTACTCCCAACCGTGCTATTTCCCCACACCCCAACTGTCTCAATCCTATCAGTTGTCCTAAATCTTAAAGACCACTTTCTCCATGAATTCTTTCTTGATGACCCTCCCAGACAGAAGTAGTCTCTTCTGAACTCCCTTAATCTTTTATTTTTAATTTAATTAATTTATTTATTTTGAGGCAGAGTCTCGCTGTGTCGCCCGGGCCGGAGTGCAGTGTTGCGATCTTGGCACCCTGCAACCTCTGCCTCCCGGGTTCAAGTGATTCTCCTGCCTCAGCCTCCCAATTAGCTCCCAAGTAGCTCCCAAGTAACTGGGACTACAGGCACCTGCCACCACACTTGGAATAATTTTTGTGTTTTTAGTAGAGACGAGGTTTCACCATGTTAGCCAGGCTGGTCTTGAACTCCCAACCTCAGGTGATCCACCCGCCTGGGCCACCCAAAATGCTGGGATTATAGGTGTGAGCCACCATGCAGTCTAATCTTTTATTAAGAAAGTGTTTGGTGTTGTTATGGTTTCAATGTTTGTCCACTCTGAAACTCATGTTGAACTTTAATTGCCATTAGAACAATATTAGGAGGTGGGACCTTTAAGAGGTGATTAGGCCATGAGGGCTTCACCCTCATGGATGGGATTAGTGCTGTTATAAAAGGAGGGGGTTCATTCCCTTCTTGCTCTCTCTTTGGGAAGCTGAGGCAGGAGGATTGCTTGAGGCCAGGACTTTGAGACTAGCCTGGTCAACATAATGAGACCCTATCTGTACCAAAAAAAAAAAAAAAAAAATTAACTAGGCCTAATGGCACATCCCTGTAATCCCAGCTACTTGGGAGGCTGAGGTGGGAGGAGTCCTTGAGCCCAGGAGTTTTTGAGGCCGTAGTGAGCTATGAGTGCACCACTGCATTACAGCTTGAGTGACACAGTGAGACCCTATCTTTAAAAATAATAATAATATGTCATGGTTCATGTTTTTATTTTATTTTTCAAATTCTGAACCTTTTGGTAAATTTATTAGAATTATGGTATTGTAGTTTTGCAAAGTAACTTTTCAACTGATGAGAAAGTTATATGGAACTATTTATGAAGAAGTGATTTAAGACAAAATACCTAACATTTTTTGAACACTTAATATATGCTAAGCAGTATATTCATTGCCTTATGTACACTATTTTATTTCTTCTTAAGTACAACTCAGATTCATACTGTTACTGTTTCTATTTACACATGAGGAAAATGAAAGACACCAAAGGCCTAAGTAACTTAAGATCACACAGTTAGGTGATAAGTGGCTGAACCCAGGTTTAAATTCACCTATGTTGTCCGTAAATCTCATGTTTCGAACCATAAGAAGTACTATAGTGTCTCTTGAGCTGTTTGTTTAAGAGATAGAAGTCTTGCTCTGTCACCCAGGCTGTGTAGCAGTGGTGCCATCATAGCACACTCACTGCAGCCTTGATCTCCTTGGGCCCAAGTGATCCTTCCTCCTCAGCCTCCCAAGGGGCTGGGATTACAGGCATGAGTCACCTGACCTGGCTCCTCTTGAGCTTTCATGATCAATGTCAGAGATACACTAAACTGAGGACATGACCTTTTATGAAGTAGTCATGCATAACTGCAGTTTGCTGCATTACAAAGAACTCCAAGAAGCTTTCTAAATTCTTTTGATGGCTTGAGTTTTAGTCATATTACCACTTAGAAATTTATTTATTGGCCGGGTGCGGTGGGTCACGCCTGTAATCCCAACACTTTGGGAAGCCGAGGCAGGCAGGCAGATCACTTGAGGTCGTGAGTTTGAGACCAGCTTGGCCAACAATGGCTAAACCCTGTCTCTGCTAAAAATACAAAAATTAGCTAGGCATGGTGGTGAGCGCCTGTAGTCCCAACTACTTGGGAAGCTCAGGCGGGAGAATCAATTGAACCCGGGAGGCGGAGGTTTCAGTGAGCTGGGATCACGCCACTGTACTCCAGCCTGGGTGACAGAGCGAGACTCTGTCTCAAAAAAAAAAAAAAAAAAAAAGAAAAAGAAATATTAGTATTTCTTGAAATGAATGAACCATTTGCTTGGAAATGGTTCCACTTGAGTTGATGTGAGGATTAATAAATATACTTTGAAACAAAAGGAAGCTATTGACACATAGATATTTAAGTTATATTTGAATTGAATTTAAAGATGGCTGGCTACTTATAAGCATTTGAAAAACAGTTTAAATTCCAAATTAAAGATGGAAAATTGTAAATTACTGTATCTGTATATTTTTTGAAAGGCTGCGTGACATACAAAGACTAGGAGATTGAAAGATCTGCTTTCTGCTTTCTAGGTTTTACTTTGCCACTTATTTACCTCGTCTTTTCAGAGTTACTTCACCTCTACCTCTAAGCTTCAGTTTCTTCATTTGTCAAATAAAACCCCAAATTTCAGGGAAATGGTACCGTTCTGCTTACCTACTAGCACTGATCTGATGATTACCTCATTAATGTTATGTAAAATTACTTTATAAACCATTGATATAAAGCATTTAACACCTTTGACAGGTCACTTAGAAGCAAGATTTGGTATCTATTTTGGTTATATGGGTTCTTCACTAGTATTGGGGTATATATAAAATTAGTTCTGTGGATTCATTACATTGAGTGCAGTCGTTGAGAAGTACCTATATAAATTAGTACATTACAGACTTTATGAATTCAAGAGCTTCAGATTAGGTCTTCAGATGAAAGCCTTTCTTTCTTTGTCAAATTCTTATACCCACTGTTTTATTTTTGCCAATATCTACACCTGTGCAGTGTTACTTGTTTGTAGATGAGATGGTACATGATAGTCTAATTCAGTTATTATTGGTAATCTACATTTTTTAAAGTGATTAATATTTAAAGGATAAAAGATATATTTTATAATGAGAGTGGACTTCGTGAAGAATCTGTGATTGGGATGAAGAGAGTGTTAAATGGAAGAGGCAGAAAGGAAATCAGTATCTGTGGAAAATAACTACCAATAGATTCTAGGCTCTAATAGGGAAATCGCAAAGGAATAATGAGTGAATACCTTGAGTACTAAGCCAACATATTTTTCACCTCTAAGCTATATTTACTAGGACAGTCTTTGTGAAATATAAACATTACACTGTGTCTTAGTCTATTTTTGCTGCTATAATGGAATACCACAGACTGGATAATAGGTGATGAACAGAAATGTATTTCCTGTAGTTCTCATGGCTGCAAAGTCCAAGATTGAGGGGTAGGCATCTGGTGAGGACCTTTTTGCTGCATCATCCCATGGCAGAAGGGCAAATGGGGTGGGGAAGAGAGAGAAAGAATGTGCATGTGCGTGAGGGCATGTGTATAAGGGAGGGCAAACTTGTCCTTTCATAACAAACCCACTCCCAGGATAACAGCATTAATCCAGTCACCTCTCATGAGGCCTTGCCTCCTAGCACCAAGTTTCCAACACATGCTTTTTGAGGGATATATTCAAACCACAGCATGCTGTTGATAGAGTTACAGGAATGCTGTCATGCACCCTACATTGTAGAGGGAAAGCATCTCTTTAATTCCCTATTCTCCTCCTTATTCACCAAAGCTAGATAAAGAGATGAAAAAAAATTTTTTTCTCTTTGACAAATTATCTGTTGAATTTTGTATGAAGTGTCTCTTATATTGTATCCTAGAATTCCAGGATCTAGGGAGGTGGTAAAGAAGCAATGGTAAATTTGGGGATCTTATCTCCCTAAAGTTCCTGACACTCTATCCCTGATCCTGCAGTGGCTGCCAGAAAAAATGTAAATTTACTTAAATCTTACTCTAAAATCATTGAAAGTCCCCCCAAAAATCATATATTTGGCTGATCAATATATGTATATTTGCATTAGAATAATAATAGTTATAATTTTTTGAGAATACAGTGTTGCTGGTCCTGTTAGGCATTTTATAGATTTCCTTTCATTTATTCTTTATAACACATCTGGAATTTAATATAGTTTCTCCTCCCATTTTACATGGACATTGAGGCTCAGAGAAGTAACTTGCCCCAGATCCCACAACAGTGAATGATCAAACTAGCATTCAAACCCATATCTCTGGGACTCCAAAATCTGCAATTTATTTTTCAAAATGCCATACTGCTACGTTGATATGACAATTGTTTTGTTTTCATAGATCTGGCCTAGCAGCTTAATTGTGCAGCCAGACCTGGGTAATCCTGGAGCAAGAGTACTACCCCTAAATTCCTAAATGTACTACCTTAAATGCAAAATATAGATGATAATGTTTAGGTGAACATGACTTTCAGCCACAAAGCTTCTCTGAGTTTAAAGGGGAGGTATTCCCTTCACTTGTGGCTGCTACTGTCAGGATACCTGTCCGCTAAAATCAAGGATGCAAAGACCCATAACCATTATAAGAATAAACTCTAGTTTTCAAGAAAAGTAAGCATAAATTTCTCTGATGGAGATTGCTTCATTGGGTGTTATTGCTTTCAAAGGTATCAAAGGAAGCTCGTACTTGGCTAGTGAACACATTCGTTGTTCCATCATTGAGCAGCTCTTGTCAGAAAGTCCTTTTGCAATTCTAAACTGAGGAAAATGTCTCCTTAATGAAGGGTTGATATGTTTGTTACTGTTTCATTCACAAAAGTATTTTGAATTATAAAATGCTTTGGCCAGGCATGGTGTACATGAATTACATGCTCACACCTGTAATCCCAACACTTTGGGAGGCCAAGGCGGGTGGATTACTTGAGGTCAGGAGTTCGAGACCAGCCTGGCCAATATGGTAAAACCACATCTCTACTAAAAATACAAAAATTAGCCAGGCGTGGTGGTGGGTGCCTATAGTCCCAGCTACTCGGGAGGCTGAGGCAGGAGAATTGTTTGAACCCGGGAAGGAGAGGTTGCAGTGAGCTGAGATCACACCACAGCACTCCAGGGTTCCAGGGTGGGTAACAGAGCGAGACTCTGTCTCAAAAAAAAAAAAAAAAAAAAAGAGAAACCTGCTTAATATGAATTTAGATAAGCCCTAAATTATAGAGCTATGTTTCATATTTGTCTCAAAAAATTATAAACAATAAATCCTGTCCAAGCACGGTGGCTCGCGCCTGTAATCCCAGCACTTTGGGAGGCCAAGGCAGATGGATCATTTGAAGTCAGGAATTTGAGACCAGTCTGGCCAACATGGTGAAACTCTGTTTCTACTAAAAATGCGAAAAAAATCAGCTGAGTGTGGTGGTGCATGTTTGTAATTGTAGCTATTCAGGAGGCTGAGGTGAGAGGAATTGCTTGAACCTGGGAGGCAGATGCTGCATTGAGCCAAGATCACACCACTGCACTCCAGCCTGGGTGGCAGAGCAAGACTCCATCTCAAAAAAAAAAAAAAAACAAAACGAGAAAAAAACAACTTGTCTGTGGTACCATCTTCATAAATCCTCATCTTCCCTTAATGTCTTATAACTGTACTTATTACCATAATTCATTATGTTCATGAGTTGACTTTGTTCACCCAGTGAAATTATAAGCTTGGTGACAGCAGCTTCCTAATCTGAACATTTCTTTTTTTTTTTTTTTTTTTTTTGAGACAGTGTCACTCTATCGCCTAGGCTGGAGCGCAGTGGCACAATCTTGGCTCACTGCAACCTCCGCCTCCCAGGTTCGAGCAATTCTCCTGCCTCAGCCTCCTGAGTAGCTGGGATTACAGGCGCACACCACTACGCCTGGCTAATTTTTGTATTTTTAGTAGAGATGGGGTTTTACCATGTTGGTCAGGCTGGTCTCGAACTCTGACCTTGTGATCCACCCACCTCGGCCTCCCAAAGTGCTGGGATTACAGGTGTGAGCCACCGCACCCGGCCTTGAACATTTCTTTATGACCTTTGAGGTGATAGTTCTTGAGACCTCTAAAGCAATTCATACAGTAAAGCTGTACAGTTTAACCAAGGAAGGCATCAATATTTTTGGCTTTTACTTAGACAAACTTCAACAATGTGATAATATAACTTAGTTTATGCTCATTAGAAGCCCTGATAAAATTGGAAACCAAATTTTCATTTAATAAATGCCATTTATTTAAAAATCAGCTTTTTAAATGTAAGTCTTTCATAGTGAAAGATTGGGAATTACTGTTTGGTAGTGTCCATCCAGCCCAGAGTTGCATAATGTTTATTAAAAATATGATTAATTGGCCGGGCGCTGTGGCTCATGCCTGTAATCCCAGCACTTTGGGAGGCTGAGGCAGGTGGATCATGAGGTCAGGAGATGGAGACCATCCTGGCTAACACGGTGAAACCCCGTCTCCACTAAAAATACAAAAAAGTTAGCCAGGTCTGGTGGCGGGCACCTGTAGTCCCACCTACTCAGGAGGCTGAGGCAGGAGAATGGGGTGAACCTGGGAGGCGGAGCTTGCAGTGAGCCAAGATTGCGCCACTGCACTCCAGCCTGGGCAACAGCCAGACTCCGTCTCAAAAAAAAAAAAAAAAAAAAAAGAAATATGATTAATTTATTGATACAAAGTAGCTAATAAACTTTTTTGTTTTTAGGGAATGTGGTGAGCAACTTGGGACATTCCTTCTTCAGTCAAAGTTTCCTTGGCAGTAAAGAACATGGTGGATTCTTATATGTGACATCTACCTACCAGTCACTGCAAGACCTAGTACTCCCAACCCCACCTTACTTGTTTGGGATTCTTATCCAGAAATGGGAAACTCCTTGGGCTAAAGTATTTCCTATCCGTCTGATGTTGAGACTTGGAGCTGAATATCGACGTAAGTAGTAAAAACACGTTTTTCAAGGCATGATGACTAAAATAATGCCTGAAATATTCAGAGCCCTCTGTTTGGTGATATAATTCAGCAGAAATAGTCTTTTGAAATAGCTAAACTAAATTTGGCCAGTGTCTGCGTGTATTGGGCATAATGGGAAGCACTGAAAATAACGAATGAGGAAGTTGATTATGTATTACCTTGTAAACTTACTGCTTTTATAGTTCATTGATAAAAAACACGATCATCTTTAGAAAAGTGAATTTGAACTTAAGTAACTTTATTTTTTATAGTTTCTGTATATGATGAGCATATTCTTTGTCACTTGGTTGGAAAACAGTTACGATCAATTATATTTTACTTAACATACTGGAAGCTAGTGGAATGGAAACCACTCTCAGTTGGTAAGATACAGGCTACAGAAGAAGGAGCTTCCTTGCTCATGGCTTTAGCAGCGTAACTAAGATGTGATTTTTAAAAAGACATTAATGGTTAAATGCAAACTTTATTTTAAATTTTATATCTCCATCTAATTAAAAGTGCCCTGTGCTAGGAATCCGACCACTTGAGTAAGATTCTCAACTCTGCCACTTATGAGCTCTGTAACTTTGGGCAAGTCACCCAAGTTCTCTGATTGTGTTTCTTTTGTAAACTGGAAATAATAATGCTTGCCTTCTATTTTATATTGGGTTGTTAACAGGATCAAATGAGAGAATAAATGAAACATAATTTTATAAACCATAAAACAGTTTATGTTCTCAGCAAGTCAACTTCATTCTTCCACCAATTATTTATTTATTCAGTAAGAATTTAATAAAGGCCTCCCATATATCCTGAATCCTGGGAATTCTGAAATAGCTAAGATGTGATTATAGGCTCTCGGGAACTTTTATAAGGAATACATACAGAAATAATGATTGTAGTGGTATCTTGTATTAAAACCTGTGCTCAAAGTTAAGTTCATTGGGAGCTCCAAGACAGGCTCTAACTTGACCAGACCAGGAATGAAGGAGTAGTTGGACCTTCAGTTTTCTTGGACCAGAGTGCCTCTGGATTAACTCTGAAGGAGGCATATGAATCAGCTAAATGAATCAGGGAAAGGGAAGGATTGTGTGCAAAAGAAGCAACATGTGTATCTTCCTATTTTATACAGGCATTTCAAACCATAAAATTCAAGAGATGAGCCAGACTGATTTGCCTCTCCTAAGGAGGATCCTGGTTAGGAGGTATAGAAGAATGAACTCTTGGCTGAGTGCGGTGGCTCATGCCTCTAATTCCAGCACTTTTGAGAGGTGGCCAAGGCAGGCAGATCATTTGAGGTCAAGAGTTCAAGACCAGCCTGGCCAACATGGTGAATCCCATCTCTACTAAAAATACAAAAAAATTAGCTGGGTATGGTGGCGCATGCCTGTAATTCCAGCTACTGGAGAGGCTGAGGCAGGAGAATCGCTTGAACCCTCCTAAGGCAGGAGATCATGCCACTGCACTCCAGCCTGGGTGACAGAGTGAGACTGTGTCTCAAAAAAAAAAGAGTGAACTCTTAAACTTGTTGGAAAAAGAAAAAGTGAACTCTTAAACTTATTGAGCACAGAGGAATCAGGAGATATTTATTTCCTGGATCGTATCAATTCAGTTTGAAGAAGATTGCTCCCTAAGACCTTGTGGGTTTGTTTGTTTGTTTGTTTGTTTGTTTGTTTGTTTTGGAGACAGGGTCTCATTCTGTCACCAAGGCTGGAGTGGGCTCCAGCCCACTCTGTCACCCATTCTGTCACCTGGGCTCAAGCCATCCTTCTACCTCTCAGCCTCCCAAGTAGATGGGACTACAGGTGCATGCTACCACACCCAGCTAATTTTTTTGTTTGTTTTTTTGTAGAGACAGGGTCTCCCTAGGTTGCACAGGCTGGTCTCAAACTCCTAGGCTCAGGTGATCCTTCTGCCTCAGCCTCCCAAAGTGCTGGGATTACAAGCATGAGCCACTATGCCTGGCTATTGTGTGTCATTTTTGAAACATTTACATCGAAAGGCTTATTCTGGTTATCAGAAGACTTAATATGGCTCAGCATTTGTCTGCTACCATGCCAAATACTTTTTGAGCCCAAAATTTGATATGTTCTAATGAGCCATTATAATTATATTTTGAAAATTGTATTAGTCATGAAATCTCTTTTACCAAAGTTTTATGTTGCCAAATTTAAGTTTGATCATTTCTCATTTCCATAGTTTATCCATGCCCACTATTCAGTGTCAGATTT
Organism: Homo sapiens; assembly: GCF_000001405.40. Lineage (NCBI taxonomy): Eukaryota > Metazoa > Chordata > Mammalia > Primates > Hominidae > Homo > Homo sapiens. The sequence goes on from NC_000001.11 coordinate 52,295,927, forward strand.
CGGAAGCCATTGTTTGGAGAGACGGGGCATACCATCATGAATCTTCTTGCAGTAAGTTGGGAATTTTTTTTCCTTTGTCCTTACTGGAGTTTATATGGGAGAAGGAAGAAAGCAATTTTATTATTTTCTTGGTAGCTGTGCCCAAGCTGCTTAAGGCAGGTAAAGATATATGCTGAAGAAAAAGAACAGTATATGTATGTGTATATATATATATACACACACACACATATACATATATATTCATATGTATACACACACACACACACACATATATATATTCTTTTGCAAACATGAAGTGAAATGGTACAGGATTCCAGCGCCTGATTATACACTTACCGTCCAACCTTGCAGAATTATTGTGAGGACTAGAAGTAATACATAAATAAAACACCTAGCATTCTGTCTTGTTTTTATTTTAAGACTGGCATTCTATGAGTTTCTCTTGTGTCTATATAGGTTATTATCCAAGCAAAGATTGGTCAGAGATTGTACCCAGATACCCCAAGCCAGTAAGGCTACTGCCCTCTGCTGATGGATCTGAATATGGACTGGAATTTAAACTTCATTGTTTTCCTTTCTTCTGGGCTCTCTCATGTCTCCTACACACGTGCACAGGTTCTGACTCTGTTGGCCAAGATCATTGGTTGGCTTGAGTCCACTAAGTTCTCTGCTGCATATATGCACAGACTAGGATCAATCCTGGATATTTGGACCGTTTATGAAGCTCCCTATGGTTGTCTTACCTCCCAGAACTTGCCCCAAACAGGTTTGGTGAAATCAAGGTAATCAAGCTACTGGGCCTCCCTTTTTAATAACCACCGAGATTACCACTTTGACAATGTTCCATAGCAAGTAAACTCCTTCAAGTAGCAAAGCTCATTTTTTTGTTTGTTTTGTTTTATTTTGTTTGAGACAGAGTCTCTATCGCCCAAGTTGGAATGCAGTGGCACGATCTCAGCTCATTGCAACCTCCACCTCCGAGCAATTCTCGTGCCTGAGCCTCCTGAGCAGCTGTGACTATGGGAGCACACTACCACACCCAGCTAATTTTTGTATTTTTTGTAGAGAGAGCGTTTTGCTATGTTGGCCAGACTGATCTCAAACTCCTGGCCTCAATGATTCACCTGCCTCAGCCTCCCAAAGTGCTGGTATTACAGGCATGAGCCACTGCTCCCAGCTGCAAAGCTCATTGTTTTTACAAACTACCTTGCCCTGGTTGAACTACCTAACTACCTAATGGGGCTAGGGGGCAGCCCCAGGCAAGAAGGTCACAGACTCAATTCAAAGTTCAGTAGTTTTCATGAAAAAAACATTTCTTTTTTTTTTTTTTTTTGGAGATGGAGTCTCGCTCTGTTGTCCAGGCTGGAGTGCAGTGGCACAATCTTACTGCAACCTCTGCCTCCCAGGTTCAAGAGAGTCTCCTGCTTCAGCCTTCAGAGCAGCTGGGATTACAGGCACCTGCCACCACGCCTGGCTAATTTTTTGTATTTTTCATAGAGACAGGGTTTTACCTTGTTGGCCAGGCTGGTCTCAAACTCCTGACCTCAGGTGATCCACCCATCTCAACCTCCTAAAGTGCTGGGATTACAGGCATGAGCCACCATGCCCAGCCAAAACACTTCTTAATGTTAATATGCCTTTGATCTAATTCCAGAGCACTGAAATGGTTCTTTTTAAGCCACTTATACAGCTTTTCGGTTGCTTTTTGAGGAGTGGGTTTGGTGATTTCCTCCCTCTGTGATGCTTAAAAGCTATATTTCCAGTTATCTTTTTTTTTTTATTTCTTTAAAAAATTTTGTTTTGTTTTGTTTTTTGGGACAGAGTCTCGCACTGTCGCCTGGGCTGGAGTGCAGTGGCACGATCTCGGCTCACTGCAACCTCCATCTCCTGGGTTCAAGCAATTCTTGTGCCTCAGCCTCCCCAGTAGCTGGAATTACAGGCACGAAACACCATGCCCAGCTAGTTTTTGTATTTTTAGTAGAGGCGCATGTTGGCCAGGCTGGTCTCAAACTCATGACCTCGAGTGATCCACCCACCTCAGCCTCCCAAAGTGCCTTTTGCCTGTTTTTTAATTGGGTTGTCTTTTTGCTGCTAGGTTAAATTTGTTATATATTCTGGATATTAACTCCTTTTCAGATGTATGGTTTGCAGATATTTTCCATTTCTGTAGGTTGTGTCTTCACTCTGTTAATAGTTTCCTTTTCTGTGCAAAATCTTTTTAGTTTGATGTAATTCCATTTGTCTATTTTTGCTTTTATTGCCTGTGCTTTTGGGATCTTATCTAAAAATTCATTGCCTAGCCCAATATTGTGAAGCATTTGCCCTGTTTTCTTCTAATAGTTTCATAGTTTTGGGTTTAAATTTAAGTCTTTAATCCGTTTTTAGTTGATTTTTGTATATGGGGAGAGGTGGGGGTCTAGTTTCATTCTTCTGCATGTGGATATATCCACTTTTCCAAGTACTATTTATTGAAGAGAGTCCTTTCTGCAGTGTGTGTTCTTGGCACCTTTGTCGAAAATTAGTTGGCTGTAGGTGTCCAAATTCATTTCTGGGCCTTCTATTCTGTACTGTTGGAGTATGTGTTTGTTTTGGCCACTACTATGCTGTTTTGGTTATTATAGTTTTGTAGTATATTTGGTCAGGTAGTGTGATATCTCTAGCTTTGTTCTTTTTGCTCAGGACTGTTTTGGCCATTTGAGGCCTTTTGTGGTTTTATAAGAATATTAAGGTTTTGGTTTTTTTTTCTGTTTCTGTGAAGAATATCATTGGCATTTTGATAGAGATTGCATTAAATCTGTAGATACCTTTGGGTAGTATGGCTATTTTCACGGTATTAATTCTTCCAATCCATGAACATGGAATCAGTTTCCTTTGTCAATGTTTTTTTTTTTTTTTTTTTTTGAGACGGAGTCTTGCTCTGTTACCCAGGCTGGAGTGCAGTGGCGCAATTTCGGCTCACTGCAAGCTCCGCCTCCCGGGTTCACACCTTCTCCTGCCTCAGCCTGCCGAGTAGCTGGGACTACAGGTGCCCGCCACCACGCCTGGCCAATTTTTTGTACTTTTAGTAGAGACGGGGTTTCACTGTGTTAGCCAGGATGGTCTCGATCTCCTGACCTCATGATCCGCCCGCCTCTGCCTCCTAAAGTGCTGGGATTACAGGCGTGAGCCACCTTGCCCGGCCCTTTTTCAATGTTTTAGAGGTTTCTTTGTAAAGATCTTTTACCTCTTAACTAAGTGTATTCCTAGGTATCTTATTTTTTTTATAGCTACTGTAAATGGAATTGTTTTCTTTATTTTTTATTAGCGTATAGAAACACTACTGATTTTACATGCTGATTTTGTATCCTACAACTTTACCGAATTTGTTCATTAGCTCTAACAGGTTTTTGGTGGCATCTTTAGGGTTTTCTATGTATAGGGTCATGTCATTTGCAAACAAGCACAATTTGACTTTCCAGTTTGGATGCCTTTTATTTCTTTCTCTTGCCTAAGTGCTCTGGCTAGGACTATGTTGAATAGAAAGGATTAAAATGGGCATCCATGTCTTGTTCCTGTTCTTTGAGGAAAAGATTTCCACTGTTCCCATTCAGTATGATGTTAGCTGTGGGTTTGTCACATATGGCCTTTATTGTGCTGGGCTGCTTGTCCAGCTGGGCACAGCAGGCCAGCCAGCTGTGTGTTGGTTTCTCCACTGTACAGGTCTGTCTGTTCCCTGGGGCAGGGAGGTGCCATGTGAGTTCAGTGCCAGGGCTCCCTCATTCTGTTGGGCCTAGGCTCTCAGCAGCTGGATGATGGTGATACAGCTACATGTGTGTGTTGTGGACTGACAGTGGAGCTTCAGAGATGGAGAGATGCAGTGGCAATTGGCCCCCAGGCAGGATGAACTCTAGCAGTGGGTCCAGTTTCAAGATGGCACCATGCTATGACTGGGAATGAGGGCTGTATGACATGGGCTCCAACTCTGGAGCAGTGTAGTCCTGTGAACTGCAGGCAACTACAAACTGGATTCAGGGTTTGTGAGGACCGCGGGACGAGGCTGCAGTGGTCATGGGGACCATGGGTCCCCAGCTTACCCTTTCCCCATTAGAAGTAGTCCTTCCTGACTCCAGGCCACTCCTTGCAGGGAGGCAGTGCGGCAGAGGCAGAGTGCTTCGCTCCCGTCTCTGTGGTGCTATCTGGGGCATCTGGTGCTCCACAGGAATTTCAGCACTCCCCTGGTGCTCTCCAGCATACTTCCACAGCCACTCCAGTTGAAATATAGTTTGTTTATTGTTGTTTTGGTCCCTTTTGTTGAGTAGAGGGGAGCAAGAGCCAGACAACTCCAGTCAACCATCTTGCTGATGTCACTGTCGTTTAGAGAGAACAATAAGAAAAAAAAGTCTTGGCTGGGCGTAGTGGCTCATGCCTGTAATCTCAGTACTTTGGGAGGCCAAGGCAGGCGGATCACGATGTCAGGAGTTTGAGACCAGCCTGGCTGATATGGTGTAACCCCGTCTCTACTAAAACTACAAAACTTAGCTGGGCATGGTGGCACATGCCTGTAAATGCCAGCTACTCAGGAGGCTGAGCCAGGAGAATCTTTTGAACCTGGGAGGCAGAGGTTGCAGTGAGCCAAGATCGTGCCACTGCATTCCAGCCTGGGCGACAGAGTAAGACTCAGTTTCAAAAGAAAAAGAAAAAAAATCTTGTAGATTTACCCATCTAGTTGCCATTTCCAGTGTTTTTCATTCCTTTGTATAACTCTGTATTTTCATCTGGTGTCATTTTCCTTCTGCCAAAATGATTGCCTGTAATATTTCTTACAGTGTAGGTTTGCTGCTGATGAATTATTTTAGCTTTTGTATTTCTAACAACATCTTTATTTGATCTTCATATTTGGAAGATACTTTTGGTGGTTGGAGAAGTCTAGGTTGAGTTTTGTTGTTTAGGTTTTTTGGTTTTTTTTTTTTTTGAGACAGAGTCTCACTCTTTCACCCAGGTTGTAGTGCAGTGGCACAATCTCGGCTCACTGCAACTTCCACCTCCCGGGCTCAAGCAATGCTCCCACCTCAGCCTCCCGAGTAGCTGGGATTACAGGCATGCACCACCATGCCCAGCTAATTTTTGTATTTTTAGTAGAGACAGGGTTTCACTATGTTGCTCAGGCTGGTCTTGAACTCCTGACCTCAAGGGATCCTCCTGCCCTGGCCTACCAAAGTGCTGGGATTACAGGTGTGAGCCACCATGCTCAGCCCGAGTTTTCTTCTTTGAGTGTTTTTGAGATGTTGCTCCACTGTCTTCTGCTTTGCATTGTTTTCCCTCTCATCTTTGTTCCTCTCTACATAACAATTTTTTCTTTTCTTAACGTTGTTTTTCTTTTTCCATCTTTTTTTTTTTTTTTTTTTTTTTTTTTGGAAATAGGGTCTCACTCTGTTGCCCAGGCTGGAGTGCAGTGGCACAATCACGGCTCACTGCACCCTTGACCCACAGGGCTCAGGTGATCCCCCCGACCTTGGCCTACCAAGTAGCTGGGACTACAGGTACGTGCCGCTATGCCCAGCTAATTTTGTTTATTTTTTATACAGACAAGGCCTCGCAGTGTTTCTCAGACTGGTCTCCAACTCCTGGGCTCAAGCTATCCTTCCACCTCAGCCTCCCAAAGTATTGGGATTACATGCATGAGCCACTGTGCCTGACCTTCTCTGGCTAGTTTCAAAAGCTTTTTAAAATTACAAGTTTGAAGCAAATTGATTATAATGTGCCATAGTGTAGTTTTCATGTTTCCCGTACTTGGGGTTCATTGAGCTTTTTGAATCTATGGGTTTATAGTTTTCATCTGATATTTTTTCTGTTCATCCCCTTCTCTCCCTGAAGGAGATTACTCCAATTACATATATATCAGGCTGCTTGAAATTGTTTCACGTCTTACTAATGTTCTTTTTATTTCTTTTTCAGTCTTTTTTGTCTCTTGTTTTCATTTAGGATGAATTTTATTGCTGTGCTCTCAATTTCACTAATCTTTTATTTTGGTTTAAGCTGCTGTTAATTCTATCAATCTTTTAAACAATCTCAATCAAATACTTTGATTTTCATCTCTTGAAGTTATACTTGGGTCTTTTAAGATCTTTTATGTCTCTGCTTAACATTTTGTACATGTAGAATACAATATAATAACTATTGTAATGCCTTTAGTAATTCTAACTTCTTGTATAAGTTCTGGCTCCGTTTCCATGGATTGATTTTTTTTCCTTTATTTTGAGTTGTATTTTCCTGCTTCTTTGAATGTTTGGTATTTTTTTATTGGTTGCCAGACATTCTGATTTTACCAGTTGGGTGCTGGTTATCAATATTCTTGAGCTTTTTTTGCAAGTAATGAAGTCAAGTTACTTAGAAAAACCCTCCATCTCACATCATATTCTACATTTCAGTAAATGGCAGTTCCAGTCTTCTAGTAGCCCTGGCTATAAAATTTAGAATCATCTTTAACTTTTATCATTTGTTCACATTCCACATCCACAGTGGCAAATATTATCAGATTTTCCTTTAAAATATGTCTGGAAACAGGCTGGGCGCAGTGGCTCACACTTGTAATCCCAGCATTTTGGGAGGCCAAGGTGGGCGGATCAGCTGAGGTCAGGAGTTTGAGACCAGCCTGGCCAACATGGCAAAACCCCATCTCTACTAAAAATACAAAAATTATCTGGGCCTGGTGGTGCATTCCTGTAATCCCAGCTACTTGGGAGGCTGAGGCAGTAGAATTGCTTGAACCTGGGAGGCAGAGGATTCAGTGAGCCAAGATTGCGCCACTGCACTCCAGCCTGGTTAACAGAGCGAGACTCTGTCTCAGGAAAAAAAAAAAAATCTGTATCTATATATCTAGAAACTGACAACTTCTCATCACTTTTTAAACTGTTAACATCCTGGCCAGGTGCAGTGGCTCACGACTGTAATTGTAGCACTTTGAGAGACCGAGGCAGGTGGATCACCTGAGGTTGGGAGTTCAAGACCAGTCTGGCCAACATGGTGAAACCTTGTCTCTACTAAAAATACAAAAATTAGCCGAGCATGGTGACGCACATATGTAATCCCAGCTACTTGGGAAGCTGAGGCATGAGACTCGCTTGAACCCTGGAGGCGGAGGTTGTACTGAGCCAAGATGGCACCACTGCACTCCAGCTCGGGCAACAGAGTGAGACTCCATCTCAGAATAAATAAATAAACTGTTAACATCCTGGTCTAAGCTCTCACTATCTCCTACCTTGATTGTTTTTATGGTATTTATCTGATCTTTTCTTCCATTCTTCCTCCCTTACCACCTATTCATTACCAAGGAGTCAGATCTGTTAAAACAGGTCAAAAGCCTCCTAAAGGCAAAAGTCCTCACGGTGACCTATAAGAACCTATGAAATCTAGCCATTTGCTATTACTTTGACCTTGAGTCCACCACTCTTGTTCATTTTGTTTCACCCATACTGGATAGATGATGTGTTAGTGTGTGTGTGTGTTTCCTTACAGATATTCATTGAGTGCCTAAGATGTTCCAGGCGTTAAGGATATAGCAAGAACAACACAACTGAGAGTTTGTACTCTCTTGGAGCTTCAGAGGGAGGAGACAGATAGTTAACAAATAAATACAGAAAATGTTAAGTGGTGGTAAAGCAGGGTAGACATTCAAAAATATTTTTTAATGTTGTGTATAAGAGGTATATGATAATGTTTGGTTTACTTATAAGAGTTTAAAGACTAAAGAGCTAAAATACATATAGTGGGGCTTTCATTATACATTTCCTTATTATTTAAATAAATAGGATCTTTCAATATTGACATTTTTTCCATTCGTGTTAATTTTATTACTATAAATTAAACCCTACCATTGATGAATTAATTTATTCTGCTTCAATCTGCTTTGGCCCAGGACTTCAGAAATTACCAGTATACCTTGCCAGTAGTTCAAGGTTTGGTGGTTGATATGGAAGTTCGGAAAACTAGCATCAAAATTCCCAGCAACAGATACAATGAGGTAAGATTTACCATGAAGGCGTATTTTTCATAGTTGAAAACATGAGTGAAGGTGAAAAATGCATGATTATATATAAATTTTACTTATAATTAATTAACAATGAAATCAGTTAATAATATTGTATGGCTTAGTTCAATTATGGGGAATTTCATTACAGGAAGACAAGATGTCAAATTTCTGACCTAGTGGTTCATTGGATGTGTCATTTTACCTTTTGATGTTATGATAATTAGTATTAGATTTGCATTTTGATTAGGTCATGAAATTAGCCTTGTATCTGTAATATTAGTGGTGAGATTTTTAAAATGTCCCCACTCCTACTATAAATATTTATTTATTTATTTATTTATTTTTTGAGATGGAGTCTCACTGTGTCGCCCAGGCTGGAGTGCAATGGTGTGATCTCAGCTCACTGCAACCTCTGCCTCCTGGGTTCAAGTGATTCTTCTGCCTCAGCCTCCCAAGTAGCTGGGATTACAGGCACCCGCCACCATGCCTGGCTAATTTTTGTATTTTTAGTAGAGACGAGGTTTCACCATGTTAGCCAGACTGGTCTCAAACTCTTAATCTCAGGTGATCCACCCACCTCGGCCTCCCAAAGTGCTGGGATTACAGGCACGAGCCACTGTGCCCAGCCGGGTTTCTTTGTATAAAATAATTTTTCCTTCCTTTTTCCTTTTTTTTTCCTTTTTCATTTCATTTTTTCTTCATTTAGCCACTAAATCATTTATGCGTTGAATAAACATTATGTACTTGGTATGCACGTAGAATCACACAGATGTTTTATTGGATTTGTGAGCTCAGTTCTCAGCATTATTATGAGAATGACCTCTGTGAAGAAAGCTTTTAGCCATGACTTTCCACGTGATTTTTTTTTTTTTAAGGATATTAGAAAATAGTAGCTAGAATGTGTGCTTACTTTTTTCTGGGATACAACTAGCAGTCTTCAGCATTTAGATAATCCTGCCTTGGAGTATCAAGGAGTAATCGATGAGACTAGGTAGAGTCAAATCTTTAAAGTGAACTATTTGTAGTTCACAGATCTTGCTCTGTTGCCCAGGCTGGAGTGCAGTAATGCAATCTTTCATGGCCTAAAGAATTTTAAAAGAGATTGTGCTTTGAAAACCTATTTTATTTCTCAAATTTGAAATATTATTGTCTATTTCACAAACATGTATTAAATATATTCTGTGATTTGAAATATAAAGATGAGATAAGAACATTAGGCCTGCTGGCCAAGCGCGATGGCTCACACTTGTAATCCCAGCACTTTGGGAGGCCAAGGCAGGTGGATCACCTGACGTCAGGAGTTTGAGACCAGCCTGGCCAACGTGGTGAAACCCCGTCTCTACTAAAAATACAAACATTGGCTGGGTGCCTGTAATGCCAGCTACTCGGGAGGCTGAGGCAGGAGAATTGCTTGAACATGGGAGGCAGAGGTTGCAGTGAGCTGAGATCTCACCATTGGACTCCAGCCTGGGCGACAAGAGCAAAACTCTGTCTCAAAAAAACAAACAAACAAAAACCTTATGCCTGCTTTCGGAGCGTTTGCTGTCCAGGAAAATGATGGCATCAGTGGCCTGTCTGGAGTGGCTGCTGCCATCATGCTGGCTGCAGCAGGGTGGTGCTGCCAGGGCTGCATACTCCGTGGAGCCTGTAGGAGCCGGGGACAAGTGGGAGCCCCACCCCTTCCGAGTTGGTGGGGTGGGCCTCCCAAGGTGCAGCTGCCCAAGTTATGGCTGCAGACCTGGGCCTTCTGCTCCATGGAGCAGGCAGGAGCTCCCCCCTTGCAGGCACAGCTGTAGCTACCCGAGTTGTGGCTACGGACCCAGGCATCCTCGTGCTTGGGAAGGCCCCCCTCCCTTACAGCCCTGGAAATGCCTGCTCCTACTGCCTGGCTTTTCCCTGCTGTCAGCACCCACTCCAATCTCAGAGCAAAGTCGGGGCAGTGCTGACACACCAGTGCCCTGCCGCCTTGGCCCCCTCTGGACTTTGGGCACTGACAAACATAGGAAGTAAGCTGATGGGGGATGTGTGCAGCTCAATGCTGGCCTGCAGACACCCCATGGAACCTACAGCTTGGGCACCATGAATAGCAGGAGGCAAACACGTTCCTGAGCAGAAGAGGCCAGGTCCCCGATGAGGTTCCACCTTCAGGCTAGGAAGGGCCTGAAGGCTGGGGGGCCAGGCCACCAGTCCCATGGACTGTAGTGGGAACTTGGGGTGCCTTTTCTCAGCCTGCCCATGGCTGTCCATGCACCAGTCGGTGCATGCTTCCCCTCCTCTGAGGCCTGTAAAAGCCCTGGGATCAGCTAGAGCTGAGCAGACATCGGGATGACCAGCTGCAGAGAGGAGCTGCCCACTCCAGGGTCTCCTCTCTGCTGAGACCTGCAGACGCTGAGATGACCAGCTGTAGAGAGGAGCTGCTCACTCCAGGGCCGCCTCTCTGCTGAGAGCTGAATACTCGATTTGACAACCTGCCTGTAGAGAGGAGCCACCCACCCCAGGCCCTCCTCTATTACGTCACTCATAAAGCTCCTCTTCACTTTGCTCACCCTCCACTTGTCTGCATACCTCATTCTTCCTGGATGCAGGACAAGAACTCGGGACCTGCCAAATGGCAGGGCTGAAAGAGCTGTGACACAAACAAGGCTGAAACATGCCCCTTGCTTGCCACATTGCAAGTGAAGAGAAGGAGAGAAGAGCTGCAGCCCTTTGGGGAACCCAAGCTTGGGAGCTCCCTGAGCCAGGGCTGTGACTCCCTCTTTGGGGCCCTGTGGTTACTGAAGTCTCCAAGCTTCCGAATGTCACCACATTCCCTGGTGGCAGCTGTGGAAGCTGCTTGCGGTGCACCTGGTCCAGCTGCAGCCTGGCAGAGAGCCAGGGCCTGTGCAGGCACCTGGAGCTACCTGCCTCACTGCAGCAGCCAGCATGCCTGACTGTGTGCAGTGGCCGGAACCCACGCTTGCTTTCTCACACACCCCTTGCTGCTCCATGCCTGGCTCACCCTTGACAGACATGGGATCCAGGCTGGTAGTGTAAGCCTAGCACAGCCTGCCAGGCTGAGTGGCCGGAACAAGCCCAGCAGGCCTGAGCAAAACTCAGGCAAAGGCACCACTGGCCACAGAGCTTTCCAGCCAGAAAAGCAACACACCAAGGATCCTGTAACAGTTAGATGATCAGATGTCATTCCCAAGCAAATAACATATTGCTATCCTTGATGTTTGCGAGGTAGTGCTGTGTGTTTAGAAATTTTGTTTGTACAAGTATATCTGTAAAAGCTGAGGCGCTCATAGTTATTTCTTTTTTTTTGTTTTGTTTTGTTTTTGAGACAGAGTCCTGCTCTGTCACCCAGGCTGGAGTGCAGTGGCACAATCTTGGCTCACTGCAACCTACGCCTCCAGGATTCAAGCAATTCTCCTACCTGAGCCTCCTGAGTAGCTGGGACTACAGGCATACACCACCATACCCAGCCAAAATTTTGTATTTTTAATAGAGACAGGATTTCACCCTGTTGGCCAGGCTGGTCTCAAACTCCTAACTGCAGGTCTTCTACCCACCTTGGCCTCCCAAAGTGCTAGAATTACAGGTGTGTGCCACTGCGTTCAGCCCCCATAGTTACTTCAGTACTGACTGGACACTTTCACAACAATAGCTCCTATTCATATAACCTGTTTTTATCTGAACTCTGTTGCCTCCGTTTATGGTGTGCAGGTTCAGAATCCTTTGTTCTAAAAGAGTAACAGTATTTCTTGTCATTTATTTTATGGATTATGTATCAGGTCTTTTTCTTACCTGATTAGCAAACTGAATTTTCTTTTTTCTTCTTTTTTTTTTTTTTTCTGATACGGAGTCTTGCTCCGCCACCCAGGCTGGAGTGCAGTGGAGCGATCTCGGCTCACTGCAAGCTCCGCCTCCCGGGTTCACGCCATTCTCTTGCCTCAGCCTCCCGAGTAGCTGGGACTACAGGTGTCCGCTACCACGCCCGGCTAATTTTTTTGTATTTTTAGTAGATACGGGGTTTCACCGTGTTAGCCAGGATGGTCTCGATCTCCTGACCTCGTGATCCACCCACCTTGGCCTCCCAAAGTGCTGGGATTACAGGCGTGAGCCACTGTGCCCGGCCACAAACAATTTTCCTTCTGATTTAATTTTTATTTTAACTCAACATAATTTTATCTCCTACAATCTCATACAGTTAAATTGTGTTGTGTCTAATAATTCCACTTCATAGTTGAAAAAGTAATTTCTTTTTTCTTTTCTTTTCTTTTTGGAAACAGGGTCTTATTGTGTCACCAAGGCTAGAGTGCAGTGGCACAATCATGGATCACTGCAGTCTCAACTTCCTGGGCTCAAGTGATCCTCCCACTTCAGCCTCCTAAGTAGCTGGGACTACAGGCGTGTACCATCACACCCAGCTAATTTTTGTATTTTTTTGTTTTGTAGAGAGAGGATTTCTCCATGTTGTCTAGGCTGATCCTGAACTCCTGGGCTTAAGTGATACTCCCATCTTGGCTTCCCTAAGTGCTGGAATTACAGGCATCACTACACCCGGCCATAATTTTCTTGTACATTTTATTTAATCACAATATTCTTCTTTTCCTCTCATTCATTTTTTCCATTTATACTCATAGTCTTTCTTATTATTGCCCATATTTTGTGCTCTTTTGTTCATGGCTTTTGCAGAGCTGGTTCCTTATTGATTCATACTTCCCCTACTCTTCACCTGCCTAACCCCCACTCATTATTCAGGTGTCACTGTAAATGACATTTTTTTCACATATACTTTGATTTAACTCCCAACTGGGGTAACTCTATTATATGCATTCCTAGAATTCTATGCATACTATTTGTAATAATCAGTACATTTGTAATTCCTTGTTGTGTGTCTGTTTTCTCTGCTGTGAGTTCCATGAGGGACTATGTCTATCTTGTATACCACAGGTATCATCAGCAAACACCCTAGTACGGAGTGGGTTAGCAAGAAATATCTGTTGGATGAAGACATGAAACAGATCTAATATAGATAAAACAATATGAAAACAAATGGTGAAATTTATTGCAAGTATACTAAAGGTACAGAGAAAGTAGATCTCTAGAGGATGAATAGAATAGACACCAATGTTTCTTAATTTCTTATTGACCCTGAATCCCTAACAGAGCAACACATTGCATGTAGGAGATGTTCGTAAATGTTCACCAAATAACTAGATGAATGAAAGATTTGAAATGGATAATGAATGATAACTAGGCACTAGAAAGAGAAGGGCAGACGGCATGGTGACTCACGCTTGTAATCCCAGTACTTTGGGAGGCCAAGGTGGGCAGATTGCTTGAGCCTAGGATTTAAAGATCAGCCTGGGCAACATGGCAAGACCCCATTTCTACAAAAAATACAAAAAATTAGCTGGGCATGGTGGCGCATGCCCCGTAGTCCCAGCTACTTGGGAGGCTGAGGTGGGAGGATCACCTGAGCCCAGGAAGTCGAGACTGCAGTGAGCTGAGATTTCTCCACTGCACTCCAGCCTGGGTGACAGAGTGAGACCCTGTCTCAAAAACAAAAACAAAAGCAAAAAAGGGCAGAAAAGACCTTAAGTGAAAAGGGGGATAGATACCTGCCTACACAAAGGAAGGGAAGGAGCATAGCTCATAGGGAAATGGGAGACAACAAAGTGCCTAGCAAAGAGGGGGTTAAAGCAGACTGATGGCTTTGTGGGATGTGAGGTTGTACTAAGACTGCTGGCTTCAAAATCCACTCAGAGGAATTTAGATTTTAATATGATAATTTATAAAGAGCTTTTATAGGTTCTTAAGCAGAAAAAGTGACTTAATGAAAGCAGGATTTTGGAAAACTGAGTTTGGTGGCTATATGGAAAATGAGGAGGGAGGGAGGGACTAAGGAAAGACTTTAAGCTTAGAAAGCTAGAAGATAGTACTTCTGACGGCATGGAAATTTTAATAAGCATTGTATATAAAATTTCTAATCTCTTTTGTCAAGGCCATTAAAGATCCTTGTTGGTTAAGGTCACCTGGTTCATATATATATGTATTTTTTTGAGACAGAGTCTTGCTCTCGCTCTGTTGCCCAGCTGGAGTACAGTGGTGGTGTGATCTCGGCTCACTGCAACCTCTGCATCCCAGGCTCAGGTGATCTTCCCACCTCAGCCTCCTGAGTAGCTGGGACTACAGGCACACACCATCATGTCCGGCCAAATTTTCTGTTAATAGGGATGAGATTTCCCCTTGTTGCCCAGGCTGGTCTTGAACTCCTGGGCTCAAGCGATCTGCTTGCCTCAGCCTCCCAAAGTGCTTGGATTGCACCATTGCACTGGGCCTCATGTTGTTACAATGAGATTATTTTCACCATTGTATTAACTAATAATAAATATTTAGTATGTACCAGGCACTATTCTAAGCATATATGTATCTTTACACTAACTCTATGACATGAGTATGCTAACTACCTTTTTACAGATGAGGAAATTAAGATACAGAGAACTTAGCTGGGTGCCATAGTGAATGTGTATAGTCCTAGGTACAGGCTGAGGTGGGAGGATCACTTGAACCCAGGAGGTGGAGGCCAGCCTAGGCAACATAGCAAGACCCCATCTCTTAAAAAAGCAAAAAAAGACACATAGAACTTAAGTAACTTGCCCATGATCGTACAGCTAGCAAGTGGTGGAGCTGCCATCAAACCTGGGCTTTCTGATTCTGGTGTCCCTACTCTTAACCACTGCACTGTAGACTTTAGTTTAAATAATTACCAATTTAGTTTTAGGGCTGATGAGTTAAAGTGATTGTATGTGGTTCTATTTACATTTTGTATGTAACCAGATCACTGGCATAGCTAGTACATGCACTTAAATACTGAAGTCTCATGGAACGGTAGAACTAAAATTACCTCTGGGGCATTTCCTAATATGTGACTAGTTTTTTGTTGTTGTTGTCATTGTTTTCTTTTTTGAGACAGGGTCTTGCTGTGTTGCCCAGGCAGGAGTGCAGTGGTGTAATCGTAGCTCACTGGTAGCCTCCTGGGATCAAGGGATTCCCCCACTTCATCCCCTGAAGAAGCTGGGACTACAGGTGTGCACCACTGTGCGCAGCTAATTTTTAAATTTTTTGTAGAGATGAGGTCTTACTGCGTTGCCCAGGTTGGTCTTGAACTCTTGAGCTCAAGCAGTTCTTCTGCCTTGGCCTCCTCAAAGTGCTGAGATTACAAGCATGAGCCACCATGTCTGGCAATGACTGTTATTTAATATGTTTGTTTAAGATCAGAAAAATGATGAGCCATAGTGAAAGAAGAAGAGATGTTAGAATCAAATAGACCTTGGATTGATTTTTTTTTTTTTTTTTTTTGAGATGGAGTTTCACTCTTGTCACCCAGGCTGGAGTGTGGTGGCACGATCTTGGCTCACTGCAACCTTCACCTCCTAGGTTCAAGCGATTCTCCTGCTTCAGCCTCCTGAGTAGCTGGGATTACAAGCGTGCACCACCACGCCCAGCTAATTTTTGTATTTTTGGTAGAGACAGGGTTTCACCATGTTGGCCAGGCTGGTCTCAAACTCCTGACCTTAGGTGTTCTGTCCGCCTCAGCCTCCCAAAGTGCTGGGATTATAGGCGTGAGCCACCACTCCCAGCTGGATTGATGTTTAATTACTAGCTGTATTACCTTAGTGGGTTAATCTCTCTTCTGGAATATGGGTATGCTCATATTGTGAAGTTTTGTGACATTTCAATCACGTGTCAAATAACTAGTGTTGTGTATTAGCCTGGTATACTATAATTGTACATAAATTGTATGCTATTGTTGTTGTGTTCATTTTTATCATTCAGATTAATTGTTCATATGGTTAATTTTTATTTTTATTTATTTATTTTTTTTTTAGATGAAGTCTCACTCCATCGCCCAGGCTGGAGTGCAATAGTACAATCTTGGCTCAGTGCAACTTTCGCTTCCTGGACTCAAGCAGTTCTCCTGCCTCAGCCTCCTGAGTAGCTGAAATTACAGGCAAACGCCACCATGCCCAGCTAATTTTTGTATTTTTAGTAGAGACGGGGTTTTGCTGTGTTGGCCAGGCTGGTCTCGAACTCCTGACCTTAGGTGATCTGTCCACATCAGCCTCCCAAAGAGCTGGGATTACAGACATGAGCCACCACACCTGGCTTCATTTGGTTAACTTATTGAACTTGTGTTACAAACTTCTCATTTTCATGTGCTTGTAGGATGTATCTAACTTCCCAATATAGCTAAATTCCCTTAGGATGTAGAGGACATCTGGGTAAATCTATAAGAAGGTGAAGTGGCGAAGACTCAAAACATCATTTAACAAAATATATATTGAATCTAACTGTAGGTATTTAATATAAGGAAAAGAAGACTATAAAGGAATAGCACAGCATCCACCATTAATATGCATAGGCTCTATTACACTTTGAGACTCATGAGGTTATTTGGTTATAGGATATACTTAACCCTAGGGTTCCCATAAGGATGTGGAACATGAACCATAGCTTGATAGTAGTACAGTGTCAGGCGTTTGTTACCTTTGACAGTCTTTGCAACAACCCATGTAGCATCTAACGTAGCTAATTGGGAGCATCTTTTTGGGCCTTCCTCCAGCCCCAGATAACTGCTCAAATGACAAGATTCACATCAGGCAGGTGTAGGAGCTGTCCTGGCTTAGAAGTCTTATTCCTGACAGCAACCAATATCTCTTGGAAAAACTTCATAGGCATAGATTCCAGGGTGTCTCTAGGGGACTTGCTCTGCTACAAGAGTGACTATTGAAGTAAGACCAAAGTTATGGCTATCTATCAGGGGTGTACGGTTCTCCCTGTTCAAATATAATTTATTATCTTTCACTTTTGCCCATGTTGGAATAGTAAGGATTGATTGTATGGATTGAATTGTGTCCCTCTAAAGTTCATATATTGAAGTTGTAACCTCCCAGTACCTCAGAATATGACTTTATTTGGAGAGAGGGTCTTTACAAAGGTAATCAAGTTTAAATGAAGTCATTAGAGCAGGTCGAAATCCAATATGACTGGTGTCCTTATAAGAAGGGGAAATATGGAAACAGACACACATATAGGGAAGATGATGTGAAGAGACATAGGGAGAAGATGGCCAACTACAAGCCAAGGATAGAGGCCTGGAAACAGATCCTTCTTTCACAGCCCTCAGACGGAACTATCTCTGCTGATGTTGATTTTGGGCTTGATTTTGGACTTCTAGCCTCCAGAAATGTAAGACAATGCATTTCTGTTATTTAAGCCATCCAGCTTGTACTTTGATATAGCTGTGCAAGCATGCTATCACACCAGTCCACCTTAAACAACTAAATATCAAGACAAAGTATGATAAAAACAAAAGATAATGGGCAGAGAAGGTGAGTCTTCTGCTTACCCTATCTTACTGCCTGTAGTTTTCAGGCCATAGAGCGGGTAGGGGAAACCCAAACTGACTTAGAGGTCTCCCTGACTTGAGGAGACAGAGTTGAGAAATATAGAGAGCCTACGATGGTTAGAATTTGCAGGACCGATTGCCAGAAGTGTTTTAAAAATTCAGGAGATCTGGAAAGATTTCTGGAGTCTTAGCTGATTACTTACTAGTCAGTGTGTCTATACGAGGAAAGCACTGCAAAGAAATGGGTAGAACAATTCTCACAGGGCCAGGAATAGTTTGTATTCTTACCAGCCAGAGTGACAAAGGTTCTTGTACTACATGGGCCACATTATGTCTAATGACTCAAATTATGTACAGATTCAAACTGCTCTGATCCTACCTAATAAGCTTTAAAGAAAGCTTGAAAAGGATGAAAGAATGGGCACATTAAGGAGAGCTATGGAAGATATAAAAAAGACCCAAATCAAGCTTTAAGAAATGTAGGTGGCAACGGGATGAAAAGTATGTTGGATGAAATTAAATGCAGTTTAGACAATGCTGAAGAAAAAACTCGTGATCATGAAAACATAACAACAGAAATGATCCAAAATGAAACACAGAGAAAAGGCTGAAAAATTAAATAAACAGCACGTCATCGAGTTGTGGAATGTCAGGCAGCCAAATTCTGTAATTGAAGTACCCAAAGGAGAGAAAAGGTGGTGGACCTAAAAAATATTTGAAGAAACAATGGTTAAAAAATTTCCAAATTTAATGAAAATTATAAACTTACAGATCCAAGAAGCTCAATGAACCCCAATTGCAAGAAACAGGATAAAAACTACATTAAGAAATGTTATGATCATAATCAAATTGTATAAAAATTCACATAAAGAGAACCTTAAAAGCAGCTTGAGGGAAGAAATCTTCCTTATATACTTAGGTATTTTGCAAATACAAAAGTGACAGCATATTTCTCATGAAAACAATGCAAGTTGCAAGACAGTGCAGCAAAATCTTTAAAATGCTGAAAAGAAAAACTGTCATCCTATATTTTATACCCAGTAAAAATACGTTTTAAAAATGAAGGCAGGCTGGGCGCAGTGACTCACACCCATAATCCCAGCACTTTGGAAGGCCAAGATGGGCGGATCACTTGAGGCCAAGAGTTCGAGACCAAACTGGCTAACATGGTGAAAGCCCCATCTCTACTAAAAGTACAAAAGTACGCCAGGTGCTGTGGCTCACGCCTGTAATCCCAGTAGTTTGGGATGCCAAGGCGGGTGGATCATCTGAGCTCAGGAGTTCGAGACCACCTAGGGCAACGTGGTGAAACCTGGTCTCTACTAAAAATAGAAAAAAATTAACCGGGTGTGGTGGCGCGCGCCTCTAGTCCCAGCTACTTGGGAGGCTAAGGCAGGAGAATCACTTGAGGCAAAGGTTGCAGTGAGCCGAGATTGCACCACTGCACTCCAACTTGGACTACAGAGTGAGACCCGGTCTCAAAAAGAAAAAAAAAAGCAAAAACCGCCAGGCGCGGTGGTGGGCGCCTGTAGTCCCAGCTACTCAGGAGGCCGAGGCACGAGAATTGCTTGAAATCTGGGCGGCAGAGGTTGCAGTGAGCTGAGATCGTGCCACTGAGGCAAAGCGTTTTCTCGGATACATATAATTTATCACCAACAGACCTGTTCCACAAGAAATGTAAAGTCCATCAAGGAGAATACCAAATATTGGAAATCTGGATCTACACAAAGGAATGAAAAGTGACAGAAATGATAAATTTATAGGTAAACATAACATCTTTTTAAAAGACAATTAACTGTTTCAAATTAAATGTTTGGCCGGGTGCAGTGGCTCATGCCTGTAATCCCTGCACTTTGAGGGGCTGAGGTGGGAGGATTGCTTGAAGCCAGGAGTTCAAGGACAGCTAGGCAACAAAATGAGACACCATCTTTACAAAAAATACAAAAATTAGCTGGGTATGGTGGCACATACCAGTATTCCTAGCTACTCTCTAGGCTGAGGCAGGAGGATTGCTTGAGCCCAGTGATTGGAGGTTGCAGTGAACTATGATCACACCATTCCACTCCAGCTTGGGCAATGGAATGAGACCCTGTCTCTAAAATAAAATAACATATATTAAATAGTAATGTATTGCGGAATTTATACCATATGTAGAGACAAAAATGTAGAACGGTAACAAAAAGGCCAGGGAAGAGGATATGGAAGTATATGACATGTGATGTGGTATAATTTTACTTAAAAGTTTATTGATAAGTTAAAGATACGTAATATAAACCCAAAAGCAACCACTAAAAAAATCAAAATGGGTAGGTATATCTAATCAACAAAAATAATAAAATGGAATCATAAAAGAAGGCTGAAAAAGATAACAAGAGATGGGACAAATAATAAATAGCAAGATAGTAAATTTAAATCCAGCCATATTAAAAAAAATGACTCAAATATAAATGATCTAAATACCTTCAAGTAAAAGGCAGAGATTGTGAGACTGAATAAGGAAGATTCATCTGTATGTTGTGTAAGAAACATACGTATAAGAAAAACACGGCCGGGGCTGGGCGTGATGGCTCACGCCTGTAATCCCAACACTTTGGGAGGCCGAGGCAGGCAGATCACTTGAGGTCAGGAGTTCGAGACCAGCCTGGCCAACATGGCAAAACCCCGTCTCTACTAAAAATACAAAATTAGCCAGGCATGGTGGTGCATGCTTGTAGTCCCACCTACTCGGGAGGCTGAGGCAGGAGAATCACCTGAACCCAGAAGGCAGAGGTTGCAGTGAGCCGAGATCCTGCCATTGCACTTCAGCCTGGGCAACAAGAGTGAAACTCCATCTCAAAAAAAAAAAAAAAAAAAAAAAAAGAAAAGAAACCACAGCCGGGTGCAGTGGCTGATGCCTGTAATCCCAACACTTTGGAAGGCCAAGGCGGGTGCATCACCTGAGGTCAGGCGTGTGAGACCAGCCTGGCCAACATGGTGAAACCCCGTCTCTAGTAAACACAAAAATTAGCTGGGCTTTGGTGGTGGGTGCCTGTAATCCCAGCTACTCGGGAGGCTGAGGCAGGAGAATTGCTTGAATCTGGGAGGTGGAGGTTGCACTGAGCCGAGATCACGCCACTGCACTCCAGCCTGGGCGACAGAGTGAGACTGGTCTCAAAAAAAAAAAAAAAACTAAATGGGTAGAAAAGATAGCATAGTAATATTAATTAAAGCTGAAATGGCTATATTAATATCTAGGTTATTTCAGAACATATATTACAACCAGGGATAAAGAAATACATACCATATTTATAAAGGGATCAATTTATCAAAATGATACAACAATTTCAAAACATGTATCTAAATAACAGAGCTTCAAAATGCACAGTGAGAGAACTGGTAAAACAAAAGGTTAAATGGAGAAACCCACAATAATATTTGGAGATTTCAATAACCCTGTGTCACTAATTGAAGGAAGTAGTAAATAGAAAATCAGCGGGACTATGGAAAACTTGAAGAACACAGCCAATTTTACTTAATTGATTTTTATAAAATGTTCCGCACAACAGCATCAGAATGCACATTCATTTCCAGTGCACACAGAACATTTACAAAATAGACCATTTTCTGTGGTGTAAAAGAGGTCTCAATAAATGTAAGATGATTCAAATCATACAGAATGTGGTCTGTGACCACACAGCTTTAAATAAGAAACCAATGCCAGAAAGATCTCTAGAAAATTCCCAAATATTTGGAAATAAAGTGTACATTTCCCAATAATCCATGGGTCAAAGAATAAACCAAAAGGAAAATTATAAAATATTTTGAACTGCTTGAAAATGAAAACATGAGATATAAAAATTGGGGATACAGCTAAAACAATGATTAGAGATAAATTTATAGCATTAAACCCTTGTATTAGAAAAAAAGGCCAGGTGCGGTGGCTCATGCCTGTAATCTCAGCACTTTGGGAGGTTGAGGTTGGGGGGATCACTTGAGGTCAGGAGTTTGAGACCAACCTGGCCAACATGGTGAAACCCCACCTCTACTAAAAATACAAAAAAATTATCCGGGCATGATGGTGCGTGTCTGTAATCCCAGGAGGTGGAGGTTGCGGTAACTCGAGATCACGCCATTGCACTCCAGCCTGGGTGACAGAGCAAGACTCTGTCTCAGAAAAAAAAAAAAAAGAAAGAAAAAAAGACATCTCAAATCAATGACCTACTCGTCTACCTTAAGTAATTAGACAACAAAGAGTAAATGAAATACAAAATAGAAGAAATAATAAAGATAAGCAATCCATAAAATAGAAGACAAAAACAATAAAGAAAATTAATGAAACCAAAAGCCAGTTCTTTGAGAAGAGCAATAAAATTGATAAACCTCTAGTTAGACTGATTAGATAGGGAAAGCACAAATTACCTTTTTAGGATGTAAAAGAGGGAAACTATCATTACAGGTCCGATAGACAGTATGAACATGTTTTGGTCAGTGTGCGTTCAACTTAGATAAAATAGGCAAATTATTTGAACAGTAAGTTTTCACAGCTCTCAAGATTAAATAGATAACCTAAATAGCCCTGTATTTATTAAAAGAATTGACTTTATTGTTTAAAACCTTCTCACAAAGAAAAGTCCTAGTTCAGATGGTTTCACTGGTAACTTAACAATGAAGGAAGAAATAACACCATTTCTGTGCAAACACACCAAGAAAATAGAAGAGAAGGAATCTTACTCTATGAGGTCAGCCTTATACTAATAACAAAACCAAAAAAAGACATTACAAAAAATGAAAACTATACATCATACCTCTCATGAAGTTATTTGCATAAATAGTTAACAAATTTTTAGTAAATCCACTCTAACAATACATAAAATAATAATGTATATTATGACTAAACATGGTTTATTTCAGGAATGCTAAGTTGGTTTAACATTCAAAACTCATTCCATAGTTTAGGATACAGGATCCTTTAACAGGATGAAAAAGGAAAACCATATGATACAGCAAAAGCAGTTGACGAAATCCTACTTCCATTCAAGATTAGAGAGAGCATGATTGTATGTGTGTGTGTGTGTGTGTGTGTGTGTGTGTGTGTGTGTGTGTGTATCTTGGCAATCTAAGAAGAGAACTTTCACAAGCTAATGATTATCTATGAAAAATCTATAACATCTCTAATGGTAACAGACTGAGTGCTTCCCCTTTAAGATTGGAAACAAGAACGGGATGTTCACTCCTGTTTTTATTGAGCATTGTAATGGAGCTTCTAGCCCATGTAATAAGGGGAAAAAAAATAAGAGTCATAAAATTATATATATAAAAAAAGACTGTCGGTATTCATGGATAACATGGCTGTCTATGTAGCAAATCCTTATGGAGTCTACAAAATGGCCACTAGATCTACTAAGTGAAGTTAGCAAAGTCGTGAGATTATTGTATAAAAATCAGTAGTATTTTGGTATACTAGCAATGAACAATTGAATATAGAAATTTAATAACGATACAGTAGGCCAGGTGTGGTGGCTCACACCTGTAATTCCAACACTTTGGAGGACAAGGTGAGCTGATTGCTTGAGCCCAGGAGTTCTAGACCAGCCTGGGCAACACGGTGAGAACCTGTCTGTACAAAAAATACAAAAATTAGCCAGGTGTCATGGCACATGCCTGTAGTTCCAGCTACTCAAGAGGCTGAGGTGGGAGGATCACTTGAGCCTAGGAGGCAGAGGTTGCAGTGAGCTGAGATTGTGTCACTGCACTTCACTCTGGGTGACAGAGTGTGACCCTGTCTCAAAGAAAAAACCACAACATCAAAAATATGACATAATTTGGGATAAATTTCTTAAATGATCTGTAATACTTATACACTGAAAACTACAAAATATTGTTACGAGAATTTAAAGACCTAAGTAGAGATATATAATATTTATGGATTGGTAGACTCAGTACTGTTAAGATTGCAGTAGTCCCCAAATTGATCTGTAGCTTCAACACAATCCCAATCAAAATACGAGTAGGCTTTTTTATAAATAAAAATTGGCTGGGCACAGTGGCTCACACCTGTAATCCTAACACTTTGGGAGCCCGATGTGGGCGGATCACATGAGGTCAGGAGTTTGAGACCAGCCTGACCAACATGGTGAAACCCCATCTCTACTAAAAACACAAAATTAGCTGGGCGTGGTGGCGCATACCTATAATCCCAGCTACTCAGGAGGTTGAGGCAGGAGAATCACTTGAACACGGGAGGTGGAGGTTACAGTGAGCCGAGATCGCACCATTGTACTCCAGCCTGGGTAACGAGCAAAACTCCATCTCAAAAAAAAAATAAAATAAAAACAAATAAAAATTGAGGTACTGATCCTGAAATTTATATGGGGATAAAAAGAACCTAGAAGAGCCAAAACAACTTTGAAAAAGAACATAATAGCCAGGCGCAGTGGCTCAGGCCTGTAATCCCAGCACTTGGGGAGGCCAAGGTGGGCAGATCACGAGGTCAGGAGATCGAGACCATCCTGGCCAACATGGTGAAATCCCATCTCTACTAAAAATACAAAAATAAGCTGGGCGTGGTAATGTGTGCCTGTAATCTCAGCTACTTGGGAGGCTGAGGCAGGAGAATCTCTTGAACCCGGGAGGCAGAGGTTGCAGTGAGCTGAGATTGCGCCATTGCACTCCAGCCTGGTGACAGAGAGGGGGAGATTCTGTCTCAAAAAAAAAAAAAAAAGAGAAAAAGAAAATAATTCCAGGACTTCTTAGATGATGTTAAGACCTTTATTTTTTTTGACAGAGGTTCGCTCTTGTTGCCCAGGCTGGAGTGCAATGGTGCAATCTCAGCTCACTGCAACCTCCGCATCCTGGGTTCAAGTGATTCTCCTGCCTCATCCTCCCGAGTACCTGGGATTACAGGCACATGCCACCACGCCCAGCTAATTTTGTATTTTTAGTAGAGACGGGGTTTCTCCATGTTGGCCAGGCTGGTCTCGAACTCCTGACCTCAGGTGATCCACCTACCTCGGCCTCCCAATGTGCTGGGATTACAGGCATTAGCCACCGTGCCCGGCTGTTAAGATGTATTTTAAAAGTAGAGTGATCAAAGCAGTATTGTTTGGGTGTAAATATATATGAATAGACCAATGGAACAGAACAGAGAGTCAAAACATAGATGCTTACAGATGCTCAATAGCTTTTCCGTAAAGATGCCAAGGCAGTTCATTAGCAAAAGGATAATCTTTTGAACAAAAATGGTCTTTATAATTGTATAGCCAGTTGTTTGAAAAAGAAGATGAACCTCAACCTTTACCTCATACCATGTACAAAAATTAATTGGAAATGGTTCATAGATTTATACAGAGTTAAAACTAAAACTTCTGAAAGAAGACATAAGATAAAAATCTTAGTGACCTTTGGCTTGAAGGAGGGTGAGGGAACCATATATTACAAAGGGGCTCAAGGAAATTTTGGGGGGTGATTGCAAGTGCCTTTTTATGAGTATATGCACATGTCAAAATTCATCAAATTGTACACTTTAAATATGTGTAATTCATCAGTTATTTTAAATATAACTGTAAAAGAAAATACATCATTTTTTTTTTCTGGTAATGTAATAGACGTTCAAACTTTGATCAGGTCACTGCAGTGATATAGCCAAAGAGTTAACCTATCGAAGTCTCACACAAAAAGGAACAAGGTTTTGTTAACTCTTTACTCAACACCAAAAAGATAGGAATAGAGAAGTTTATGTTGGTTGTGATACAAGAATCTGTGAAATCATGTATTTGTACAATTCTCCATCTTGTATAGGACAGGCTGAAAAATAGGCTGAATGGCCTCTTGAGATTCTTTCCCACTCTTAAGCTTCTAAAATAGGAGTTTTGGTTTATTTTAATTTGAAACTACACATATTCTTCAGAGAAGTGTGAAATTACAAAAGCATAATTTCATAGGTTCTTTGTAGCACTGGCGAGAACAGATGGCGCTAAAATCTGTTTGAGGAATGTTTGATTCTCTGGCCTTCAAGGAATACATTTCTTTTAGGGAATTAGGAGCTGATAGTCCTCTTCTTAAAGGAATGAAAGGAGTTGGTCAAAGGTCCTCTGGAGAATAGTGCAGAGGAGAGAGATGATGTTCCATTGATTATTGGTATAGCTTTTCCTAGTTTATACATAAAAGACAGTATTTAACAATAGATATGTTCAAATAAAAGAATCCTCAAGAAGAAGCCCATGATACTGTACCTCCACTGACTGCAAGAGGAGGCCACTGCTGAACCCCACATGCCCAGGATAGTACTGTCTTCTCTCTTGTGTACATGCCCATTGACAGGAGTGGTTCTACTACACTGGACTTCTAGTCAAACTCCTGGCTTTCCCTGTCTCCCAGAACTCACAACCTCGCTGCCATATTTGTCCTTGAGACCATCAGCTCTAATCTCATTGTGTTTATGTCAAGCACCACAAGAAGTTCTGGACTCCTAGGGCATCCCTCATTTATCGTAATTTAATTTCTATCTCTGTACACCCTCCTTTCTGACCCCATTTCGTATTCATTTTGGAAAACCCAAGATATTAGTTCTTGTAAGTCTTATTTGCCTCTATACATTTCCTTGGTAATCTTATCCAGTTCTATGGGCTTAAATACTATTTCTAAGCTGACATCTTCCAAATGTTTGTTTTAGCCTAAATCTCTCTGCTGTTTTGTAGACTTGACTGTCTTATTGCCCACTTGACATCTCCACTTGCATACACATTTCAAGCTTAGCAAGTTCACCTTTGACATGGTCATCTTACAGGCTTCTCCATCTAAATTAATGACAGTGCTGTCATCTTTCCAGTTACCCAAGCCCAAAACTTTAGAGTCATCTTTGAATCTTCTTTTCCTCATTCCTTGATAGACAAATCTATCAGGAAATTCTGCTGCCTCTACTTTCTAAATATATCTATAATCCAGCTGCCTCTCAATCCTGGGACCAGTCTGGTCTCTGACCTAGATTTCTGCAGTGGCCTCCTAACTGGTCTTCCTATTAGTACCCTTGTCAGTCTGTTTTTAATGTAGCAGCCTAAGTGGTCTTTTCTTTTTTTTTTTTTTTTTTTTGAGACAGAGTCTCGCTGTGTCGCCCAGTGGAGTGCAATGGCGCGATCTCGGCTCACTGCAACTTCCGCCTCCCGGGTTCAAGCGATTCTTCTTCCTCAGCCTCCCGAGTAGCTGGGACTACAGGTGTGCACCACCATGCCCGGCTAATTTTTGTGTTTTTAGTAGAGACGGGGTTTCACTATATTGGCCAGGCTGGTCTCGAACTCCTGACCTTGTGACCTGCCCGCCTTGGCCTCCCAAAGTATTGGGATTACAGGAGTGAGCCACCATGCCCAGCCTGGTCCTTTCAAAACTAAGTCATATCATATCACTCCTCTGCTTAAAACCTTCCACAGATTTTTCATCCCAATCAGAATGACACAAGTCCTCTACACCATTTGTATTTCTCGACTCATTATCTCTGTGATCTCTTTTTTTCTTTTTTGGAGACAGAGTCTCGCTCTATCGCCCAGGCTGGAGTGCAGTGGCGCGATCTCAGCTCACTGCAAACTCTGCCTCCCAGGTTCACGCCATTCTCCTGCCTCAGCCTCCTGAGTAGCTGGGACTATAGGCGCCTGCCACCGCGCCCAGCTAATTTTTTGTATTTTTAGTAGAGACAGGGTTTCACCGTGTTAGCCAGGATGGTCTTGATCTCCTGACCTCGTGATCCGCCCATCTTGGCCTCCCAAAGTGCTGGGACTACAGGTGTGAGCCACCACGCCCGGCCCTCTGTGACCTCATTTTTTATAACTATTCCTTTTCTGTCACTCAGCTCTGGCCACACTGTCCTCAGTGTTCCTTGAAATTCCAGGGCATGCTACCTTACTGCCCTCCAGGGCCTTGCACGTATCCCCATGCAGTGGGATAAAAGCCTTTGGCTTTTCCCTCACTTTTTTCAGTAAGACATCCTCTGACTCTCCTATTTAAAATTGTACCCACCAATACTCCCAGTCCTCCTTCCATGTTTTATTTTTCTCTGTAGCACTTGTCATTGTATAATAGTTTTATGTATTTTACTTATTTGTTTATTGTTTTTGTCTCCTCCTCCTACACACAAGAATATAAGCTCTGTGAGGGCAGGAATTTGTTTGCTTGTCTACTACTGAATAAAGCAAGCACTAAAACAGTGTCTGGCACGTATTAGATACTCAATGCCCATTGGCTAAATGAATAAGTATTTTCTAAATGAATGAGTGAAGGCAGCCTGGGCACATAGCGTGAGACCTCAGCTCTACAAAATAAAAGTAGGCCAGAGGGCCAGGCACTTTGCCTCATGCCTGTAATCCCAGCACATTGGGAGGCCAAGGAGGGAGGGTCACTTCAGGTCAGGTG
Organism: Homo sapiens; assembly: GCF_000001405.40. Classification (NCBI taxonomy): domain Eukaryota; kingdom Metazoa; phylum Chordata; class Mammalia; order Primates; family Hominidae; genus Homo; species Homo sapiens. Next base: position 52,323,709 of record NC_000001.11, read on the forward strand.
TTTGAGAGCAGCCTGGCTATCATGGTGAAACCCATCTCTACCAAAAAATAACAAAAATTAGGCGGGCATGGCAGCACATGCCTATAATCCCAGCTATTCGGGAGGCTGAGGCAGGAGAATCACTCCTGAGGTCCGGAGTTCACAACCACCCTGACTAACGTGGTGAAACCCCGTCTCTACTAAATACAAAAAAAAAAAAAAAAAGCCAGGCGTGATGGCGCATGCCTGTAATTTGAGCTACTTGAGAGGCTGAGACAGGAGAATTGCTTGTACCTGGTTGGCGGAGATTGCAGTGAACTGAGATTGTGCCATTGCACTCCAGCCTGGGCAACAAGAGCAAGACTCAGTCTCAAAAAAAAAAAATAACCACAAAAAAACAAATGAAAATAAAGATAGCTGGGCATAGTGGTACATAGCTATAGTCTGTGTACCTGGGAGGCTGAGGTGGGAGGCTCACTTGAGCCCAAGAGTTGGAGACTGCAGTAAGCTATGATTATGCCACTGCACTCCAGCCGGGGCAACAGAACAAGACCCTGTCTCAAAAACACACACACACACACACACAAAAACAAAAACAAAAACAAAACAAAACAGATTGAATGAAGACTCATAGTTGTCAATATGTAGATTCATAGGACTTGAAGATGGGGTCTAGCCTCTGGACACTAGTGAATTTCAGCTAACTGGAAGGGTACGTATTTACATTTTTCTTAAAATTACTCCAAGAAAGTATATTCTTCCACCTTTTCCATCGTTCTTCAGCTCAGTGTTTCTTTCTCACTTCTAGTTCTGTTCCTCACTTATGCTGTTTCCTCTGTCCAAAATATTCTTTTTATATACCTGATAGCCTTTAGCAAACCTCCCTAGAATTCTCCATCCCCTAGACAGTGTCACTGTTTTTCTCCTCCATTTTCCTGTTGTTCTTTATTTCTGTAACATGCACAGGATGATGGGTGTGAATCCTGTCCTCTGAATTGTGAGCCTCTTGAGGGCAGAGAGTAAGTCTTTCATGCTTCCCTGTATCCTTGTAGTTGTTCACTTTTCATAGATTTTTCACACCTTTGTACTGGATCTTCCTGTCTAAAGCCTTTGTTAATCACTTGATAATGTTTGTAGAACTGAATCACTAAAACTTATTTTATTTGGCCGGGTACAGTGGCTCACGCCTGTCGTTCCAGCACTTTGGGAGGCTGAGGAGGGAGGATCACTTTAGCCCCAAGATTTGAAACCAGCCTTGGCAACATAGTAAGAAAGACCCCATCCATACAAAATTAAAAATAAAAGAATTAGGCTGGGCGTGGTGGCTCACGCCTGTAATCCCAACACTTTGGGAGGCTGAGGCGGGCGGATCATGAGGTCAGGAGATCAAGACCATCCTGGCTAACATGGTGAAACCCTATCTCTACTAAAAATACAAAAAATTAGCTGGATGTGGTGGTGGGCCCCTGTAGTCCCAGCTACTCGGGAGGCTGAGGCAGGAGAATGGTGTGAACCCGGGAGGCAGAGCTTGCAGTGAGGCTGAGGCAGGAGAATGGTGTGAACGTGGGAGGCAGAGCTTGCAGTGAGCCGAGACTGCACCACTGCACTCTAGCCTGGGCGACAGAGCGAGACTCCATCTCTAAAAAATTAAATAAATAAATAAATACATAAAAAATAAAAGAATTAGCCAGGTGTGGTGGCACATACCTGTAGTCCCAACTTCTTGGGAGGTTGAGGTGGGAGGGTCACCTGAGCCCCAGAGGTCAAGGCTGCAGTGAGCAGTGATCATGCCACTGCACCCCAGCCTGAACGAGAAGGCGAGACTGTCTCAAGAAATAAAAACAAAAACAGAAACTTATTTTATTAGATACCCAATCTATGTGACACTAATTACAAGTGAATCAAGATTTAAAAGAAAATCGTGCTAACCACATTAACTCTCAGTATAGTTTTATGACTATTACAAGCCATCCAAATCTATTCCTACTTATTCGGTTTACTAACTAGTATATTCAGCAAGTATTTATGGAGTGCCTGCCATGACAAAGGCCCTATGCTAAGCCTAACACATATACAAATTGTATCCACTCCTCAACACTCTGCTTAAACTCCTCTATAAATCCTTTCCAGTTCAAATCGAAAGGCTAGTCATTTTTTAAACATGAGATCTCAGAGAGGAAATTGGAAGTACATGATGTGTTAACTGAAAGATGGATTAGGTGTTATAACTCTTCACACACTTCTGCAGCATAATCATTCATAGAACTGTGTTCTTTTAATTGGCTCCTGTGATTTTTCCGGGACTCCAAGGGTGGGAAACACCGGGAGGTAAAGCTCGTGCTGTTTCACTTGATGTGCTAAAATGGTTCTTATGAGATAATGCTCCTGTAGCATTTAGCTCAGCTTGCTCAGTGCCTGGTTCATGGTTGGTGCTCTGGAAATGTTACGTACTTTGCACATTCTGTTGTTACAGCAGTTGTTTCTCTGCCTTTTACTGGTATGTCATTCTCAATAATTTGTAAACTTTTAGGAAAGGTCTTTAATTTCATTATCTTATAAGAGGTATAGGAGCTACCTGGTTGAATTATTTGCTGCTGATTTTAAGGTTGCTGTAAGGTTCAGTAGGCAGGGTAGGGAAGATGAGCATACAAATTTTATTTAACAAATTGTTTGTTAAAAGAGTACTTATTATATGTTTGATGCTGTCCTAAGCACTTTGTAAATATTAATTTATCTAACTCTCATAACTCTATGAAATAGTTACTTTTATTATCACATTTTATAGAAGAGGGTCCTGGGACACAGAGAGGTTAAGTAAGTTTACCAAAGACACACAGATAGTTACGAGCAAGGCCAGTATTCAGATACTGTTGGTCGAAGGCCAGGCATGGTGGATCATGCCTGTAATCCCAGCACTTTGGGAGGTCAAGGTGGGTGGATCACCTAAGGTCAGGAGTTCAAGACCAGCTTGACCAACATGGTGAAACCCTGTCTCTACTCAATACCAAAAAAAAAAAAAAAAAAAAATAGCTGGACATGGTGGCACATGCCTGTGCCTGTAATCCCAGCTACTTGAGAGGCTGAGGCAGGAGAATCACTTGAACCCAGGACGTGGAGGCTGCAATGAGCCAAGACTGCACCATTGCACTCCAGCCTGGGCAACAAGAGTGAAACTCCATCTCAAAAACAAACAAGGCCGGGCACAGTGGCTCATGCCTGTAACCCAGCACTTTGGGAGGCTGAGGTGGGTGGATCACCAGGTCAGGAGATAGAGACCATCCTGGCTAACATGGTGAAACCCCATCTCTACTAAAAATACAAAAATTAGCTGGGCATGGTGGCATGCACCTGTAGTCCCAGCTACTCGGGAGGCTGAGGTAGGAGAATCGCTTGAACCCAGGAGGCGAAGTTTGCAGTGAGCCGAGATTGCACCACTACACTCCAGCCTGGTGACAGAGTGAGACTCTGTCTCAAAAATAAACAAACAAAAATACTGTTGGTCTTGCAATTAAGCATTATTCAAGGTTGAATGTGAATGATGGCATATAAAAAGTACAGAGAATGTGCTATGGCATTTCAAAGAAGGTAATGGTCACATTAATGTCTCACTGGGGGTTAAAGAAGTCTTCATGCTGGCCAGGCGCGGTGGCTCACACCTGTAATCCTAGCACTTTGGGAGGCTGAGTCGGGCAGATCACAAGGTCAGGAGTTCGAAACCAGCTTGGCCAATATGGTGAAACCCCATCTGTATTAAAAATACAAAAATTAGTGGGGCGTGGTGGCGTGTGCCTGAAGTCCCAGCTACTCGGGAGGCTGAGGCAGAAGAATTGCTTGAATCCGGGAGGCAAGAGGTTGCAGTGAGCCGAGATGGTGCCACTGCACTCCAGCCTGAGCGACAGAGGGAGACTTGTCTCAGAAAAAAAAAAAGTCTTCATGCTGAAATTGGCATTTTCAGGGGACTACTTTTTCAGGTGCTTGGCCATGGGAGAAGAAAAGGGAAGGTAGGCCGGGCGCGATGGCTCACGCATGTGATCCCATCACTTTGGGAGGCCGAGGTGGGTGGGTCACTTAAGCTCAGGAGTTTGAGACCAGCCTGGCCAAGATGGTCAAACTCCGTCTCTACTAAAAATACAAAGAATTAGCCCGGGTGGTGGCGGGCGCCTGCAGTCCCAGCTACTTGGGATGCTGAGGAAGGAGAATCGCGTGAACTCAGGAGGCAGAGGCCGCAGTGAGCCAGGACCACACCACTGCACTCCAGCCTGGCCAACAGAGCAAGACTCTGTCTCAAAAAGAAAAAAAAAAAAACCCAAAAAGAAAATAGTAATGCAAAGCCTCAGGGATGGGAAATGGTAGGCCATCAGGAAGTAGTCCTACATGTAAGCAGCATGTAAGGATACTGTAGGAGGGAGGCAAGATTTGGGGTTAGAGCATAGGAAGCTTGAGATTCTGAATGGAGGACAAGCTGGAGAAGATGTGACATAGAGCTGTGCTTTGATAAGTACGAAAACATTGTATGTGATGAATCAGAACTGATAGAGATTCACTGTAGGAAAACCAGTTACAAGGTCATTATGTCCAGAAAAGAGGCAATTAGGCCTTGAACTATGGTGAAAATAGGTATAGATACAAGAACATTACAGAATTTGAATTGACAGCAGAATAACACAACCAAAATGGATAGTCAAATATTTATATCATTATATGACTAGTGTAAGTTTGTTTTATGGTCAGTAAGGTCCTTTGAATCTCTTGAAAACTCTGCTCTTGTTGTAACTGAGCATTATCTTAAGAGAAAATATATTCATTTATCTCTAAAGAAATATGAAGTTTCTTTCATTGGACTTGTAATTTACATCCAAGGAAATGATTTCCTTTGAGGCCAGCTAATTTATTCAGAATGTCTGGATTGAAAATGTTTCTTAGTCTGCTTAGTGTAGACAAAATTAGAAACCACTTTAGCCTAATGATTCGGAAGAAATGATTTCTTTAAAATTGTGATCATCTCAGTTTCTTTCATGTGATACAAATGTAAATTGCAAATGAGAACCTAAATGTGTCTGTCAGTTGGCTTTGCTAAGCAGAAATCTTCTAGCTGACTCATCCTATTTACAGAAGAATTATTTCAAAGTAACCTTTGGAAAACCTGGGTAGAAGTGGTTTGGATTAGTGAGGTTGATAAATATCAGTGTAAGAGGAGTATTCAATTATAGTTTGGATACCTCTGGTGCTTTGGAAGAGTTATAATAAAGTAAAGCCAAGAGATGATGATGATGCCTTAGAGTTGTATGGATACAATACCTAGGAGTAAATTTAACCAAGGAAGTAAAAGACTTGTACCCTGAGAACTACAAAACGTTGCTGAAAGTAATTAAAGACCTGTGTAAATGGAAAGATGTTCCATGGATTAGAAGACTTAATATTGTTAAGATGTCAATATTAAAAGTGATCTACAAATGATTCATTGCAAGCCGTATCAAAATTTCAATGGCCTTTTTGCAGCAATGGAAAAGCCAATATTCAAATCATCTGTAATTGCAAGGGGCCCTTAATAGCCCTTCGTGGATGTTCTTGAAAAAAGAAGAACAAAATTGGTGGATTTATACTTCTCAATTTTAAAACTTACCCTTACCTCACATTATATATAAAAACTGACTCAAAACAATCAACCAACAAACTAAATATAAGAGCTAAAACCATAAAGCTATTAGACGAAAACAGTAATCTTTCGTGACCTTGGATTTGGCATTGGATTCTTAGATATGACCCCAAAAGCACAAGCAACAAAAGAAAAAAAATAGATGAATTGGATTTAATAAAAATTAGAAATTTTGTGCATCCAAGGACATTAGCAAGAAAATGAAAAGACAACCTATAAAATGGGAGAAAATATTTTCAGATCATATCTCTCATAAGGGTCTTAAGAATTCTTACATATCGGCCGGGCGCGGTGGCACATGCCTATAATCCCAGCACTTTGGGAGGCCAAGGCTGGCGGATCATGAGGTCAGGAGATCGAGACCATCATGGTTAATACGGTGAAATCCCGTCTCTACTAAAAATACAAAAAATTAGCCGGGCATGGTGGCCAGCACCTGTAATCCCAGCTACTCGGGAGGCTGAGGCAGGAGAATGGCGTGAACCTGGGAGGTGGAGCTTGCAGTGAGCCTAGATCGCGCCACTGCACTCCAGCCTGGGTGACAGAGCGAGACTGTCTCAAAAACAAAACAAAAAAAAATTCTTCCGTGTCAACAGCAAAGACAGCAAGGCAAAGTGGGTATGTGCCTGTAGTTCCAGCTACTTGGAAGGATAAGGTGGGAGGATCAGTGTCAACCTGGATAACATAACATAACATAACATAACATAGCACCATAGTCTCTAAAAAAAAGACAACCCAGTTAAAAAATGGGCAGGCCAGGTGCGATGGCTCACGCCTATAATCCCAGCACTTTGGAAGCCAAGGTGGGCGGACCACTTGAGGTCGGGAGTTCGAGACCAGCCTGACGAACATGGAGAAACCCCATTTCTACTAAAAATACAAAATTAGTGGGTGTGCTGGCACATGCCAGTAATCTCAGCTACTCGGGAGGCTGAGGCAGGAGAATCACTTGAACCTGGGAGCTGGAGGTTGCGGTGAGCTGAGATAGTGTCACTGCACTCCAGCCTGGGCAACAAGAGCGAAACTCCATCTCAAAAAAAGAATGGCTGCTCCATAGGCAGAGCAGTGTCATGGGCTGCCTGACTGAGTATAGTTACGGTATTTCCTGATTATATGCTAAACAAAGGGTTTTCTGGGAAAGGGGTGGGGAATTCCTGGAACTGAGGGTTCCTTCCTTTTTAGATCATATAGGGTAACTTCCTGACATTGCCATGGCATTTGTAAAACTGTCATGCATGGGTGGGAGCGTCATTTAGCATGCTAATGCATTATAATTAGTGATAATGAGCAGTGAGGACCTCCAGTGGTCACTTTCATCACCATCTTGGTTTTGGTGGGTTTTGGCTAGCTTCTTTACAGCATTCTGTTTTTATCAGTGGGGTCTTTGTGACCTGTATCTTGTGCTTTCCTCCTATCCTAAGAATGCCCAACCTCCTGGGATGCAGCCCAGCAGGTTTCAGCCTCATTTTACCCAGCCCCTGTTCAAGATGGAGTCAAACAACTCTGACAGCACTACAACTTTTTTATTTTATTTTTATTTTTTGAGATAGTCTCCCTGTGTTCCCCAGGCTGGAGTGTAGTAGCGCAATCTTGGCTCACTGCAGCCTCCACCTGTTGGGGTAAAGTGATTCTCCTGCCTCAGCCTCCCAAGTAGCTGGAATTACAGGCACCCGCCACCACACCCAGCTCATTTTTTTGTACTTTTAGTAGAGATGGGGTTTTACCATGTTGGCCAGGCTGGTCTCGAACTCCTGACCTCAAGTGGTTCACCCACCTCGGCCTCCTAAAGTGCTGGGATTACAGGTGTGAGCCACCGGGCCTGGCCTGCAACACTACAGCTTATAGGAGGAAGAGGGGAGTAAAACAAAATAAGTTTCCAGTTAGATGTTTAAAGGCTCAATTTTAAAGGATTAGATCAGAAAGTTGGACAAATGGGATGACATGAAGGAAAAAATGGGAAATAAAAACAAATTATCATTAACCCAGAGCTGGGCTAGGTGGCATGTGCCTATATAATCCCAGCCATTCAAGAGGCTGAGGTGGGAGGATCACCTGAGCCAAGGAGCTTGAATCCAGCCTGGACAACATAGTGAGATCCCTGTCTCTTAAAAAAAAAAAAAAAGTGTCGGCCGGGTGCAGTGGCTCACACCTGTAATCCCAGCACTTTGGGAGGCTGAGGTGGGCGGATCACGAGGTCAGGAGATCGAGACCATCCTGGCTAACACGGTGAAACCTTGTCTCTATAAAAATACAAAAAAATTAGCTGGGCGTGGTAGCAGGCACTTGTAGTCCCAGCTACTCGGGAGGCTGAGGCAGGAGAATGGCGTGAACCCAGGAGGCGGAGGTTGCAGTGAGCCAAGATCGAGCCACTGCATTCCAGCTTGGGCAACAGAGAGAGACCCTGTCTCAAAAAAAAAAGGTGTCAAACTCTTTTTTTTTTTTTTATTTTTTTTTGAGACAGAGTCTTGCTCTTTCCTCAGGCTGGAGTGCAGTGGTGCGATCTTGGCTCACTGCAAGCTCCGCCTCCCGGGTTCATGCCATTCGCCTGCCTCAGCCTCCTGAGTAGCTGGGACAACAGGCATCTGCCACCATGCCCAGCTAAATTTTTTTTTATTTTTAGTAGAGACGGGGTTTCACCGTATTAACCATGATGGTCTCGATCTCCTGACCTCGTGATCCGCCTGCCTCGGCCTCCCAAATTGCTGGGATTATAGGCATGAGCCACCGTGCCTGGCCCCAAACTCTTTATAGAAATAAATAACAACAAATGATCATTAACCTGTTTCAGCCAAGGGTTGGAGTTTAACATCAAGGTGAGTTCTTACATATTACATGCAAAACAGTGGCCCATGAATTTTTTTTTTTTTGGATTAGGTCAGAATTATCATGTTAAATCTTTTGAGAAGAATAAAGCAAAATATTAGTAACTAATTTCATTGAAGATCTCAAACATAAGTTAGTAAAATTAAGAAACAATTTGAATTTCATATGTTTTTAGAGGGAAGTTCACTCCTTTGGAAGTTGAAAAAGAAAGCAGATGTACTTAAATATGGGACATTCTTTTGAACTTAGAATTTCAGATTATATATCCTCAGAGAATCCAGTATATAGGAGAAACTACAATTAGCTAAACTAATTTTAGCTACTTGAGTTCAATCAGCAATAAGACAAAAAGTGAATGCAAAATGTATCATGTGCTTATTAGGTCATAGTACAAATGGCTTATAAAATGTACAGGGAATTTTTGTGTACATTGATTTGTTAATGGTGACATTTTTTTACTTTGTTTCATTATTTGGTGGCCCTTTTTGTCACTTTAATACGTAATATTCTGTTAGTTTTGTTTTTGAGAAGATGGAGTTGCACCATGTCAGACAGAAAAATGCCCATTCTTGTCAGAATAAGGTTATCTCTTTGATTGCAGATGATGAAAGCCATGAACAAGTCCAATGAGCATGTCCTGGCAGGAGGTGCCTGCTTCAATGAAAAGGCAGACTCTCATCTTGTGTGTGTACAGAATGATGATGGAAACTATCAGACCCAGGCTATCAGTATTCACAATCAGCCCAGAAAAGGTGAGCATTTGAGCTGGTTGAGATTATGATAATGGAAAATTATACTGGACTTGGACAGTTAGATACCTCAGTCCCGTAACACTCACTTTCTAGATAGGTGACCACAAACAAATTAATTAACCTTTCCAACCATATTCTTCAGGATTATGTTGACTCCCCAAGTGGCCAGACTCAGAGTTGCAAATGGGATATGTGTTATTGAGGGAACAATTTTGAAAATATGCCCTTAGGAGGGAGGGATAGCATTAGGAGAAATACCTAATGTAAATGACGAGTTGATGGGTGCAGCAAAACTAACATGGCATGTGTATACGTATGTAACAAACCTGCATGTTGTGCACATGTACCCTAGAACTTAAAGTATAATAATTAAAAAAAAAAAAAAAAATATGCCCTTAGGATATTGACAAGGGCCAGCTCTGGCATTTGAAGGCACGACTAGGCCCCATAATGAGAGTATGTTTAGGTAAATTTGAAGCTTGTTGGATGACCATTCCCACAGAATGCTAATTAACTTGACAGGATTCTGAAGGAGGTTTCAGTGCTATTCAGAATGTGGTCTCCACACCCCAGATTCACTAATCAAAATTTGCATTTTAACGAGATCTCTGTGTGATTCAAGTGCACATTCGACTTTGAGAAGCATTGCTCAAGAGGCGTTACCCAAAGTGTTTTCTCAGGCACCATGGTGTTAAAAACTTCACATGAAAAAATAAGTCTTGTTTAATAGATTTAATCTAAGAAACCCCGTGTTAGGCCAGCCGCGGTGGCTCATGCCTGTAATCCCAGCACTTTGGGAGGCCAAGGCGAGAGCATCATTTGAGCTAAGGCGTTCAAGACAAGCCTGGGCAACATAGCAAGACCCTGTCTCTTAAAAAAAAAAAAAAAAAAGCAGGGCATGGTGGCTCACGCCTGTAATCCCAACACTTTGGGAGGCCGAGGTGGGTGGATCACCTAAGGTCAGGAGTTCAAGACCAGCCTGACCAACGTGGTGAAACTTCATCTTTACTAAAAATACAAAAAAGTTAGCGGGGCATGCTGGCACATGCCTGTAGTCCCAGCTACTCGGGAGGCTGAGGCAGGAGAATGGCGTGAACCCAGGAGGTGGAGCTTGCAGTGAGCAGAGATAGCACCGCTGCACGTCAGCCTGGGTGACAGAGCGAGACTCCGTCTCAAAAAAAAAAAAAAAAACTTAGCAGATAAAATAGTTGGCAACCATATTTCTATCTTCAGAATATATTTGATCTAAAAAAATCTGAAAATCAATGGATTAGATTGGGGGTGGCAAACTTTTTTTGTGAAGGGCCAAATGATAAATATTTTAGACTTTGCAAGCTGTGGTTTTTGTCAACAACTATTCGGCTCTAGTATTATAGTGCAAAAACTGCCATAGACAATAAGTAAATGAATGGACATGGCTGTGTTTCAATAAAATTTTATTTACAAAAGCAGGCTGGAGGCCAGGCAGGCTATAGCTTGCCAACCCCCTGACCTCAACCATTAAGATTCCTTTTCTTGTAAGATACTTGGATTCTTAATTAGAGGAAGAACAAAACAAAATGGGGGAGTGTATCTTAAAACCTAGTTCCCAAAGCTGTTGTAAGCATCAGAATTGTTGGTTACATGTTTATTGTGGAATATAGATTTGATTTTTTAAAATTTTCTGTGTGATGATGGTCGGAATTCTCAACTTCTGAATATTTTGTTATTATTTTCAATCCCTCCAGCTTAGGGTCTGTCTTACTAAACTATTTCTATTGCTGTTTTAGTGACTGGTGCCAGTTTCTTTGTGTTCAGTGGCGCTCTGAAATCCTCTTCTGGATACCTTGCCAAGTCCAGTATTGTGGAAGGTAAAGAATGAATTGTTCAGTCCTCATAATAAGGACTGAACTTATGTACATAAAGGGAATCCTTTACACTTCTGCTGTAGATGTCTGACTCCTACTGTTTTTTCAGTAGCATCTCTTCAGCAAATTAAAACTGCCATGAGAGTGCTTAGTTCTCTGAAGAAAGGAGTAAGTGGTAGGGATACCATGTGACAATGACATTAAAACTAGGAGATGGCCTTTCAGAGCTCTGGGATAAGGTACCTGAGGGCATGTAGTCTGAGTTCAAATATATCATTGGGTGGAAATATTAATATCTAAATGTGTAGATGAAAGTCCTGTCCACAAGAATGCTGTGGTCATCATTTGGAGTACAAAATGGCATGTGCTTGCTGCTAGTGTGCTATAATTAGACATGACACATATGTTGACAAAAGTTAATTAAACTAAAAGCTAATTGGCACACCGTTTATTTTCTTTGTTGGTTATTCATTGTGTTTTGATTTTGCTACTCTTATTTCATAACAGATGGCTTAAAACAACCATTTTATCATGCTTGCTTATCCTCTAGATCAGTAATCTTGACAGGGCAATGCAGGGATGGCTTAACACTGCTTCATGATGTTTGGAGTCTTAGTTGGGATCACTTGAAGTTATCTGATGACTGGGAGCTAGAATTATATGAAGGTTTGTTCACACACACGTCTGAGGCCTGGCCTGGGATGATTTAAAGACTAGGAGTGGTGACTGGGGTACTTACGTGGGGACTCCTTAACATGGCTTGATACCATTGGGATAGCTGGACTTTTTACATGGTGGTTCAGGACTCCAAACATGAATGTTCTAGCAAGAAGGTGGAAGCTGCATTGCCTTTTGTGACCCACCCTTTAAAGTTATATTGTGTCATTTCCACCATACTCTGGTGTTGGAAAAAGGGAGGGAAATTAGACTTCACTTCTACATGGGAGAATGGGAAGATAGCATTGTAGAAAAATGAGATGGGAGATATGACCATTTATGGAAAATGTAGTCTGCCTCACATGATGACAGGTTTTCATTTTTACAGTAGCTCACTCCAAAGCTCTGTGTAAAAACAGTCCTTTCTTAGGCCGGGTGCGGTGGCTCACGCCTGTAATCTCAGCACTTTGGGAGGCCGAGGGGGGCAGATCACTTGAGGTCAGGAGTTGGAGACCAGCCTGGCCGACATGGTGAAACCCCATCTCAACTAAAAATACAAAAAACAGCCAAGCGTGGTGGCGCATGCCTGTAATCCCAGCTACTTGGGAGGCTGAGGCAGGAGAATCACTTGAACCTGGGAAGCAGAGGTTGCAGTGAGCTGAGATTGTGCCATTGTACTCCAGCCTGGGCGACAGAGTGAGACTCTATCTTTAAAAAAAAAAAAGGTCCTTTCTTAGGGCTGGATTCCAGTGTGTTGATTGAAATACGTAGATAATCTTACATATATTTATAGATACTAGCTTTGGTCTTCTTTTGGTAAATTTAATAAAACAGTGAGTGAAACACAGAGTGCACTAATATTTTACAACTAAAATTTACAACTCTTGACTACAAAACAGAAACATGCCGTTAACAAATTGTTATGAAATCTAAGAGGTTTTTTTTGTTTTTTTTTTTTTTTTTTTAAGATGGAGGCTTGTAGCCCAGGCTGGAGTACAGTGGCACAATCTTGGCTCACTGCAACTTCTACCTCAAGTGATTCTCCTGCCTCAGTCTCCTGAGTAGCTGAAATTACAGTTGTGCGCCAACACGCCCAGCTAATTTTTTTGTATTTTTAGTAGAGATGGGGTTCCACCATGTTGGTCAGGCTGGTCTTGAACTCCTGACCTCAAATGATCCACCAGGCTCAGCCTCCCGAAGTGCTGGGATTACAGGTGTGAACCACCACACCCAGCTTAATTAATCTAGGAGTTAAACAGTCATTTGGTCTAAAGCAACTAGTTAAAGCCTATATGATGAAGTGTTGACTATAGTTGAAATTGTGACTTCACAAGGTGATTTTAAAACACCCCTTAAATGTTGTTAAATGATAAAATGAGCTGGGCATGGTGGCATACACCTATAGTACCAGCTACTTGGGAGGCTGAGGTGGGAGGACCCTGTGAGGCCAGGAGCTTGAGGCTGCAGTGCATTATGATCGTCCCTGTGAATAGTCACTGCGCTCCAACCTGGGCAGTCATCTCTTAAAAAAAAAAAAAAAAAAAAAAGATAAATTGACCTGACACAGATCCTTACCAATTCAAAGCAGTGTGTTTAAAAATTATGTGTTTATGTGTCTGGCTTGGGAATTTCTTGGGTCTTGCATTTCACTTGTGTGTTTCAGTGGAGCGATTGGCTGACTATGAAATTGTTATTGAGACTCTTTAGAAATTATTTCATTGTGTGTCAGTGAAGCAGAGTAATTGCTCAGCATGTGACAACTTTTACTGTCAATTTCAGTGTTTGCCTTCAACTCAGGTAGGTAGCAGCTGAAAAAGTTACCATCTGTTGGTTATCTGGTAGCCCATATGAAACTCTGTGGTAGGTTTGCCTTATTTGCTAGTCAATAAATGGATTTATCTCCAAGCCCACTACTATAATTTATTCAGTGATTTATTTAGCAAACATTTATTGGGCATTCACTGTATGCCAGGCAGTCATAGTAAGGTGAGAGAGATGGAGATGCAAACAAATGAATATGACCAGAGGATGATAAATGCAGGAGTGAAAACAGGAACAAAATATTCAGTGTGTCCAGAAGAAGAATGTGACTGTGTTTAAGTTTTCCCCTTAAGTAGTCTCAGGAGAAATTCTTAGTTGTGTCTGAAGTGAAATCAACAAGCATGTGTTTTAATCTTGGCATTGCTTCTCACAACACTTTCAGTAAGAGGTTCAGCTCAAAGAGCAAAACCTCTGTATCAGTCAGCTTTGGAAAGCAGAGCTAAGGTTTACATTTAACTCGGAGGAATTTGCTAGATGCCAGGTGCTGTGTTTCATTTGCCTCTCCTTTGGCTTTGTACTGATTCTTAGATGGTGTTATGGTCCAGATTACTGCAGAGAACATGGATTCCTTGAGGCAGGCACTGCGAGAGATGAAGGACTTCACCATCACCTGTGGGAAGGCGGACGCGGAGGAACCCCAGGAGCACATCCACATCCAGTGGGTGGATGATGACAAGAACGTTAGCAAGGGGTAAATGCAGCACATGTCCCCCTTTGTGGCTTTTAGTTATAGGTTAGGCTCTGGGTTTTGTCTGCTGTCTACATTGGTGTTTTATAGTTTTACTGAAAGCCCTGCCTAAGAGAAAGACTGCTTTGTATGCTTAACGTAGAATTTTAAATTTCTGGTTTTGTAAGTTAGTTTCTGAAGGAGTTTCTGTATGTATTTTTGAGGGAAGTATAAGTAGAGGGATTGATGAAACAAAAAAGTCCCTCTATAGTTATTGAGATAACAGTAATACCTGAGCCTTTTAAGATTTACAACACATTTTTGCCAACATTGTTTTGTTTGATACAATAACAGGTGTTAACATTTCCATTCTATAAATGAGTAAACAAGTACCAAAAGGCTAAGTGACTTTTCAGGTCTACAAAGCTAGGAAGTGATAAGACTAGCTCTGAAAACCACCTTCTTGGGCTTCAAACTCTGTATTCTTTCTCAGTGTTCGGCAACTCTATTCTAATGGTTCAAGCCAAAACCTTGGAGACATCTTTGACACTTTTCTTTCCCCCTCACCCCTTTCTTCCTCTCATACCCAGACATTCAGGGACAAGCTGGAAAACATTGCATTTATACATTACAAACTGAACTTTGTATCCTTTCTCAAAGGATTCTACACAACAAAGGGTGCTCTTTTTTTGTTTTGTTTTTAACATTGCTATTTGATGAATTAGAAATTAAACTTAAATTCAAGTAATTTTGACTAAATGAAGTGAATGCCTGATATGGAAGTTTAAGTTAGATTCGACTTTTAATACATAGAGATTTGGCCGGGTGTGGTGGCTCACGCCTGTAATCCCAGCACTTTGGGAGGCTGAGGCAGGTGGATCGCCTGAGGTTGGGAGTTCAAGACCAGCCTGACCAACATGGAAAAACCCCGTCTCTACTAAAAATACAAAATCAGCTGGGCGTGGTGGTACATGCCTGTAATCCCAGCTACTCAGGAGGCTGAGGCAGGAGACTCACTTGAATCGGGAGGCGGAGGTTTCGGTGAGCCGAGATCATGCCACTGCATTCCGGCCTGGACAACAAGAGCGAAACTCTGTCTCAAGAAAAAAAAAATAGAGATTCAAGAACATAAACAGGTTTGAAAATTGTTAGGGAAAGTTTAGAATCTGTGTGCCAATTATTTTGAATCCTAATCAGAATGAATGTGTATCTCCATGTATTTATACTTGTATTTCAGGGAGGAAATGACTATCAGAAGTGGCCTTTTTGTTTAGGAATCTAGGAGTGATAATTTAGCACTAAAGGGAAGGTGTTATGACAGATACATAGATACTTGTTTACACTAGCACTGTCATAATTAGCAACTTGGTCAAATAATTCCTTTTTTTTTTTTTGGAGACAGAGTCTTGCTCTGTAACCCAGGCTGGAGTACAGTGGTGCGATCGCAGCTCACTGCAACCTCCGCCTCCCAGGTTCAAGGTGATTCTCATGCCTCAGCCTGCCCAGTAGCTGGGATTACAGGCATGTACCACTATTGCCTGGCTAATTTTTTGTGTTTTTAGTAGAGGTAGGGTTTTGCTATGTTGCTGATGCTGGTCTCGAACTCCTGAGCTCAGACAGTCTACCCACCTCAGCCTCCCAAAGTGCTGGGATTACAGGCGTGAGCCACCATGCCCAGCAAATGATTCTTAATAAATATTTATTAGACTCCTAAGTTCCAAGCAGTGGGTCAGTAATGGGAATATAAGCACATAGAGGGGAATATATCATATTCCCTCCCCTTCAGAAGTTCATTTGTAAGTCAGGTATGCAAACATGAAGAATATATCATGACAAGTATCATTACAGAGTCAGGAGCAGAGTGAAAACAAGATTGAGTGGGTGACCATGCATTCACTGAAAGAAGGGATACTGGAAGAAGAGCAGGTTTGATTAATCAATTTCTTTACGTTAAAGAGAACTAGCTCCTGGAAAAATGATTCCTTTTTTGCATGTGTGTTCTTTGAACTATTTCAGTGCATAGATTCTTTCCCAAGAGCTCAGTTCATGTACATTTTTATACAGTGGCTGCTTCTTGCTATGATGTGCTGCACAGGTGTGTTCAGCAGGGTACCCAGTGTAATTAGCAGGAAGACTTCTGCAGCAAAACGTGATAGGAAAAATGGCTTTTCTAACTTCAAGAGCTGCTTCTATCTTTCCTTTGCCTCTATTTTAGTGTCGTAAGTCCTATAGATGGGAAGTCCATGGAGACTATAACAAATGTGAAGATATTCCATGGATCAGAATATAAAGCAAATGGAAAAGTAATCAGATGGACAGAGGTAAGGAAATGAAACTTGGCATACTTGACCCACTTTGAGCACAACTTTTTGCTAGGCCAAGAGCCACATTCTGGGTTGACTTTGTAGGATAAGAAAAAAATATCTCTGAGAAAAATCTTTCTCGTTTATACTACAATTCCTATCTGAAATCACCAGGAAGAAATGCTGCCAGTTGCAGCCTGCACCTGTCTGATGTATCCTCCTTCCTGTGAACTAACTTTTAGATATTTCTTTGCATTGGAACTCCAGAAGAGTAGATCTCTGAGTGGTACATTCCATCTTTGCTGTATTCTTCAGAAAGCTGGGTCAGTTATTCTGTACTTATAAACTATTTTAGATAACATGACGGTCTTTAAAAAATACTTATTTCACTAATAAGAAAACTAGGCCAGGCACAGTGGCTTACACCTGTAATCCCAGCATTTTGGGAGGCTGAGGTGGGTGGATCACTTGAGGTCAGGAATTCAAGACCAGCCTGGGTAACATGGTGAAACCCCATACCCACTAAAAATACAAAAATTAGCCGAGGCATGGTGGTGCACACCTGTAGTCCCAGCTGCCTGAGAGGCTGAGGCATGGGAATCACTTGAACCCGGGAGGCAGAGGTTACAGTGAGCCGAGATCACGCCACTGCACTCCATCCAGCCTAGGCAACAGAGCAAGACTCCGTCTCAAAAAAAAAAAAAAAAAAAAAAAAAAAAACTAGGCCGGGTGTGGTGGCTCACGCCTGTAATCCCAGCACTTTGAGGGAGACCAAGGTGAGCAGATCACCTGAGGTCTGGAGTTTGAGACCAGCCCTACCAACATGGAGAAACCCCGTCTCTACTAAAAATACAAAATTAGCCGGGCATGGTGGTGCATGCCTGTAATCCCAGCTACTCAGGAGGCTGAGGTGGGAGAATCGCTTGAACCTGGGTGGTGGAGGTTGTGGTGAGCCGAGATTGTGCCATTGCACGCCAGCCTGGGCAACAAGAGCGAAACTCCGTCTCCAAAAACAAACAAACAAAACTAAAGCTCAGAGACTAATTAACTTGCTCAAGATTACAAGGCAAATAAATAATGATAAAATCCTGATTAAAACCCAGATCTGGCCAACTCCTAAGCTCTTTCCCACTGTATTAATTTGCTCCTTAACTTGAAAGCTGTATTAGAGGCTCACCTGGGAATGAGAGGAGCAGGGCAGTGACCCTTTTTTGTATGTACATGTCATATAGATCAGAAAGTTTATTCTCTTCATCCCCAAGAGGTCTGAGAAAAAATAAAATACGAAAAAAATTTTAAAAGTTCTCGTAAGCTGGTAGATCTTAGATCCCTTTATTACTTTTGAACCTCATGTATGCTCATTTGTAAAGGATTAAATTATAAGATCTCTAGGATTCTTTTCAGCTTTGAAACTCTTATGTTTTTTTAAAAAAATTCTACGACTTCTGGCTTTTCCATTTCACACAAAAGGAAACAGAGACCCAGGGTTGTTAAATCTCTTACTCAAATTCATATGGCTAGTTCCTGATAGCAGAGATGAGACCTGGTTCTCCAGTTCTGAGCAGTAGTCCTAAGGGACTCATCCTGCATAACAGGCTCCATGATTTCATATGCAGCCAAGGGATTTTAGTTGCTTGCTATGTAATGATTCGTCCCTTTGACACATTTTGAGCAGTGCAGAGTCTGGAACGTGTAAAACACTTTATGGCTTATAAAGCAGTTTGACCTCTGTTCCCTCCTTTTTGCTCCCCAGTAGCAGTGAGGTAGGCAAGCTACCCATCCTAAGATGCAGATGAGAAGACAGGCTCAAACAGGTCATGTGACTGTAACTTTGTGACTGATGTTGGTTAATGGCAGAGCAGGGGCCAGCGCTCAGGTCTCCTGACTCCCACTCGGTCATTTCATGCCACCACTCTCCAGTGCATCCAGGTACGGGGCTTCGGAGCTGCCTCCTTTGTAGTCCTCTCAGTGTAAGTTCCTTATGGAGCAGTAAGCTAGGGGTTGCTATATAGAAACATCGTGTATTTGCATTTCTGTGTCTTTTATATTTTGCCTTTTTTTTTTTTTTTTGAGACAGAGTCTCGCTCTGTCGCCCAGACGGCAGTGCAGTGGCGCAATCTCGGCTCACTGCAAGCTCCGCCTCCCGGGTACACACCATTCTCCTGCCTCAGCCTCCTGAGTAGCTGGGATTACAGGCGCCCGCTACCACGCCCGACTAATTTTTTTTTTTGTATTTTTAGTAGAGATGAGGTTTCACCGTGTTAGCCAGGATGGTCTCGATCTCCTGACCTCGCAATCCGCCCGTCTTGGCCTCCCAAAGTGCCTTTTTTTTTTTTTTTGAGACGGAGTCTCGCTCTTGTCACCCAGGCTGGATTGCAATGGTGCAATCTCGGCTGACTGCAACCTCTGCCTCCTGGGTTCAGGCGATTCTCCTGCCTCAGCTTTCTGAGTAGCTGGGACTACAGGCATGTGCCACTACACCCAGCTAACTTTTGTATTTTTAGTAGACAGGGTTTCACCATGTTGGCCAGGCTGGTCTCAAACTCCTGACCTTGTGATCTGCCCGCCTCGGCCTCCCAAAGTACTGGGATTACAGGTGTGAGCCACCGCACCCGGCCTTATATTTTGCCTTTATATAGTTTTATCTTTACAATAACCAGAGAAGTCAGGTGCTTTCCACTTTACAGAGGCAAATTAATTTTTTTTTTTTTGAGACGGAGTCTCACTCTGTCACCCAGGCTGGAGTGCAGTGGTGTGATCTTGGCTCACTGCAAGCTCCACCTCCCAGGTCCACGCCATTCTCCTGCCTCAGCCTCCTGAGCAGCTGGGACCATAGGCACCTGCCACCACGCCCGGCTAATTTTTTTTGTTTTTTGTTTTTTGTATTTTTAGTAGAGACGGGGTTTCACCGTGTTAGCCAGGATGATCTTGATCTCCTGACCTTGTGATCCACCCTCCTTGGCCTCCCAAAGTGCTGGGATTACAGGCATGAGCCACCGTGCCCGGCCGAGACAAATTAATTATTAAGAAGTCCTCAGCCTGGCCAGCATGGTGAAACCCCATCTCTACTAAAAATACAAAAATTAGTCTGGCTTGGTGGCAGGCTCCTGTAATCCTAGCTACTTGGGAAGCTGAGGCAGGAGAATCGCTTGAACCTGGGAGGTGGAGGCTGCAGTGAGCCGAGATCGTGCCATTGCACTCCAGCCTGGGCAATAGAGCGAGACTCCATCTCAAAAAAAAAGAAAAAAAGAAGTCCTTTGGGCCGGGTGCGGTGGCTCACACCTGTAATCGTAGCACTTTGGGAGGCTGAGGCAGGAGGATCACCTAAGGTCAGGAGTTCAAGGCCAACCTGGCCAACATGGTGAAACCCCGTCTCTACTAAAAATATAAAAATTAGCCAGGTGTGGTGGTGCACACTTGTAGTCCCAGTTACTTGGGAGGCTAAGGCAAGAGAATTGCTGGAACCCAGGAGGTGGAGGTTGCACTGAACTGAGATCGCACCACCGCACTCCAGCCTGGGCGGTGGGCAACAGAGTTGAGACTCCATCTCAAAAAAAAAATAAAGTAAGTCCTTTGGGCCAGGTGCGGTGGTTCATGCCTGTAATCCCAGCTCTTTGGGAGGCCGAGGTGGACAGATCACCTGAGGTCAGGAGTTCAAGACCAGCCTGGCCAACATGGTGAAACCCCATCTCTACTAAAAATACAAAAATTAGCCAGGCATGGCGGCACATGCCTGTAATCCCAGCTACTCAGGAGGCTGAAGCAGGAGAATCACTTGAACCTAAGAGGCAAAGGTTGCAGTGGGCAGAGGTCATGCCACTGCACTCCAGCCTGGTGACAGAGTGAGACTTTGTTTCCAAAAAAAAAAAAAAAAAGTCCTTTAACTTCCTTTAGTCCTCTAACGGACTTGCTCATGACCCTTCCTCTATGGTGCTAGGACTTAGGTCATCAGTTCCAAGTGTGTTCCACTTCTGCCTGTGCACAGTGCTGACACAGTTCCCGCCTCTATAGTGGCAGGGCTGTGTGGTGGAAAAAGCTCTGCAATAAAAGGCTCAGATGCCAGGCTCAGCCTGGCTCTTCCTCTGTCTCTTAAATTCTTCTGTGCCCTTGAGCCAGTCAATTCCCTTCTAAGACTAATTGTAAAATAAAGCAGCTGGGTCACGTCAGCTATAAGAGCCATTCTCTTAGACTTAAGATCATTTTCTAGGTAAATTGTCCACATACAGGGATTACCTTTTAGTGGCATACAATGCAAAATGGAGGCCTTTTCTAGTTCTGAGAAGAATGTGCCATTGCAACCATGGAGGCTTGCAGGGAGTTAGGCAGGCTGCTGCTGTCATTTTGTGGATGCAGAGATGGAGAGACAGGGATTGTTTTTTTTTTAGGTGGAAGACAAATGCCCAACTTTTCCTGGACCAGGGACTTTATGGTGTCCTGTTCCTGTCATGTCTTCTTGCACATCTTGGAGAATCAGGGTGCTCATATACAGTGAGCTAATCTACTTCTCCCAAAATCTAGGCACAAGTTTAAAAGTCTCTTTTGTTTGGGGAACAGGTGTTTTTCCTAGAAAACGATGACCAGCACAATTGCCTCAGTGATCCTGCAGATCACAGTAGATTGACTGAGCATGTTGCCAAAGCTTTTTGCCTTGCTCTCTGTCCTCACCTGAAACTTCTGAAGGAAGATGGAATGACCAAACTGGGACTACGTGTGACACTTGACTCAGATCAGGTATGATGTGTCTTCCGCAGCTTTTAAAGCTGGCCTTGGGCAACGTCTGTATTTCTGACGTGAGTTTTTCTGCATCACCCCAGAGAGCTTAATTCTCCGACCTTCTGGCCTGACTGGATATAGTGTTTTTGGCCCTCTCTTTAATAGTACTATACCCACATGTGATGCTTGGTCAGATTCTCTCAGAACCATTTGAACTGTGGCTTCTTCACCTGCATGCCTTCCAAGGAGCTGGTTTCCTTCTTAGTGTGGGGTAAAGAGGGGAGCATGTGGTAGGACCTGCCAGGTCCTGCCTTGATGTTTACAAATTGCCAGACCTCTCTGTTCCCTCAACCCTTTAGCTCCGAGTCACTTGGAACTTGGGTGTAGGCTCAGCTTGATCCCCCTTCCCCACTGAGTGAGTGTTAATTCTGCCCAGCAAGCTGCTTCTGGCCTGAGTGCTTATGAGGAGAAACTGGTTCCTGATCACAGGGTTGTGCCATTATCAGGGAATGATGAAAGGTTCTGTGTCTGGCCCCAGTTCCTGACTAGTCATCAATCAACAAATATTTATTTTCTGCTTAACGGCTTGCCCAATGCTATACTAATGAAGTATTCTGGTCCTATCTCACATAAAACAAAGAACAAGCATTTTTCTGCTAAATATGTGAGCCTCTTGAGGGCAGGGCCCTGTTACATTCATCTTTGGATCCCTGCATTTGTAGTTGCTCAGAATGGTGCATGGATGAACAGATGGATGCAAGAACAAATATTCAGTTCCTACTAGGTTAGGGAGCTGTACATTGTGTATTTCTCATTTTAATTTTCACAACCAAAGATTAAGGTATTATTTCTGATACTCCATACCTTTTTACACACCTCTACCCTTCCCCAGAAAACTAAGACCATAACAGGTTAAGTGGCTTACCCAGTGCCTCATGGTTGTCAAGTGGTCAGGAGGAGTAAACAACAGGATAAGTGATCACCCAGAAAAGAGGATAAATTTGTATTCACTGCCATATGTTTAGCCTATGGCCAAAAAGGACATCTCCTTTCCTGCTCAGCCTCCTTGCCCTCAGCCCTGGAGAGGCCTTCTCTGTTCAGTAACCTCTCCTCCTTTTCTCTCTGTGGTATAGGTTGGCTATCAAGCAGGGAGCAATGGCCAGCCCCTTCCCTCGCAGTACATGAATGATCTGGACAGCGCCTTGGTGCCGGTGATCCATGGAGGGGCCTGCCAGCTTAGTGAGGGCCCCGTTGTCATGGAACTCATCTTTTATATTCTGGAAAACATCGTATAAACAGAGAAGACTTCATTTTTTTCTGTTCAGACTTGTTGCAACAGCAGTCATACCCAAATCATTTGCACTTTAAAACTGGAAGATTAAGCTTTTGTTAACACTATTAATGGGGTGGGGAATAGGGTGGGAGTGGGGGTTTGGGAGACGGGTGGGAAAGGGTGGTTGGGGGGACCGATGTTCCATAATTCTAAGTCTTCTATGCATTGTCCACCAAGAAGATCTGGGCAGCTTCTGTTCCTGCACAACAGTTATGCTATCCTTGCAGCTAATCCCCTTCTGTTACTGTTTAGACAAGAATTCCGCTCCTCTCTCAAGATTTACTTATGGTCATGTGCTCAGAAATGCTCAAATGGGTACAACCATCACCAAGGGTGGGATGGGAGGGCAGAGGGGAAATAAAATATAAAGCATCAGTTCTTGCACTCTTTGTACAGAATTGGTATAAAAAGGATAATTCCACACTGATCTTGTCCCAGTTACATCACAGCTGTTTATCAAGTAGAAGTCACACTTAGATTTTTGTTTTTACCAGATTATTCATTGAAGTGAATCGAAGACTCAAGGGCTTAATCTACTCTTCCAGTTTCGGAAGGGCAACTCAGTGTAAATGTCATGTGGAGAGCAGAGGTGAGTTCAGGATTGCTGGAGATCTGCCCGTGTGGATGGCAGGTATTCAACTGGGTATTTCTGTGAATGCTGATGGAATACACCCAGGACATTTTTAGTTATAAATACTGGAGGAATTTAAAAATACATTTTATTGAGAAATAATTTAAACTTCTAGGAAGTTGAAAGTACAAAAAACCCCACGCACACTTTACCCAGATTCCCCTCTTGTTCACTTATTAACATTTTGTCCCATTTGATTTGTCAGGGTTTCTCTCTCCCTTTCTCCTTCTCCATAAAAAATTGAGGCATTTGAGAGTAAATTGCGTACATCATAGGCCTTTCCTCCTAAATGCTTATTTCCTAAAAATAAGGATATTCTCTTACACAACTGTAGGACAGTTCTCTACTTCAGTCAAACATGGATTTGATACTTTAACCTGGCATCTGCCCAGTGATGTTCTTTGTAGCATTTTTTCCCTCCAGTAAACCTTCCAGTATAGAATCAGACATGGCTATGGCTGTCATGACTCATCTTGATCTTTTATGTCATTGATATGTATTTTTTTTGAGACGGAGTCTCGCTCTGTCACCCAGGCTGGAGTGCAGTGGTGCAATCTCGGCTCACTGCAATCTCCGCCTCCCAGGTTGAAGCGATTCTCCTGCTTCAGCCTCCGGAGTAGCTGGGATTACAGACGCCCGCCACCACCCCCAGATAATTTTTTTGTATTTTTAGTAGAGACAGGGTTTCACCATGTTGGCCAGGCCTGAGCTCAAGTGATCCGCCATCCTCTGCCTCCCAACTCCTGATCTCAAGTGATCCGCCATCCTCTGCCTCCCAAACTGCTAGGATTACAGGTGTGAGCCACCGCACTCAGCCTCATTGATATTTTTGGTGAATGTAGCCACCCCCAACCCCACCCTGTTTTTTTTTTTTTAACAGAAAACAACTCAGTTTGATATTTCCTCATATTTAGAATCAGTTTATGTGTTTTTGCCCATAATGACTTGATATCCATCTGCCCCCTCATTGATAGTGGTAAATTTTGATCACTTGGTCAAGGTGTCCAACTTCTCTGTATATCCCCCTACCTGGAACTTATAACCAGTATATGTAGACTTTCAGACCATGCAAATCTCTTGCCTATGAAAGTGTCCCGTTAAATTAGCATGCATTGATGTTTCTTACCTGCACTGATCTTTTACTATGTTTGCAAAATGATTTTCCAATTCTAGCGCATTCTCCAGCTTTACAGGTTGCACTTGGTAATCTACTATAAGCAGAAGCCCTTCCTTCCCAATTTATTCATTTAATTTTCATTATACACTCATGGACTGTTGTTTTGCTTTGTTTTGTTTTGAAACAGTGTCTCACTCTGTCACCCATGCTGGAGTGCAGTGGCACAATCTTAGCTCACTGCAGCCTCAAACTTCTGGGCTCAAGCAAACCCCCCACCTTGGCCTCCCAAAGTGCTGGGATTACAGGCATGAGCCACCAAGCCTGGCCTTTTTCAGTGGTTCCAATTCATTATTTTGGTGCACAAATGGTCTCAGCTTTAGCTAGACAAGAGACCCTTCAAGCTGGCTCCTACATCCTGGTGATATGCTATTTTTTTTTTTTTTTTTTTTGAGTACTTCTTTTTTATTTCTATCCTAACAAGATGCTTCAGGCTTATCTTGTGCTTATCCTGCCCTAGCCCTGGAATCAGCTATTTCTGCAAGGAGCCCTGGCTTCTTTTAATGGGAGTGGTATTAGAAACCAAAATCTGGTTTATCCATGATATGTGTGATGCACTCTGACCTTTTTCTGTTTCATTAAAAATTTATTTTGATCTTAGACCAAATGGATTCCACAATGCACATTTTGAAAATACTGCTTTAGGGCAATGTACTCCATTGTCACTGGCATCTTCTGAAAGCCAAGGCTAAACTAGTTTTTCTGCAGTATTAGTACAGCTCCAAGAATTCCCTGGAAGCTAGCGCAGGCCTGTGGGACAGCGACAGGCTGCTCCCCAGTGGCTAGTGCTGGGTTTAGCACGAGGCAACAGCAGGCTGTGGAGCTGTGTTTGCGGCAGCAGCTGTTTTCCAGAGGCCTAAAGGCCTGGCCTGGGAAACATCTGGGTAGGTTCATCCTGCTCTCTGAGGTGGGAGCTTATAGTCGACATCTGCCTCTCCAAAGGTTTTACCGACGGTGGTTGCACAGAACTCTTACTGTGACCTTTCCCACAGGCTCAGAGGTACTCAGAGCTTCTAAGGGGAAGCTTGGCCCACAGAGCAGCAGCTTGTCAGGACCGAGCCCTGGTAACCACTACCTCCAAACCTGACAAGAACAGGAAGCACTTGTTAACAGGGGCAGCTTATTTTTGGTCTAATAGCCAGCTTTGTCTGAACATACCTCAAAAGTCTGGAACTTCTACAGGGACTGGTCCTGTTTTCCTGTGGTTTATCTTCCTGCTTGCCATTGTACTTATTTATTCTGGTTCAGTGCAAGCTTTTAAATTCTCCCACTAAGGACAAACTCTGGCCCTCAGATCCTTTCTCAGCTGCATCAAATGTCCTCTGTGTTTAGTAAAATCATTTGTGGAATTGGGCATAAAATAGCCAATGATAGTTAATTGTTTTCCTTGTTTATCCTTGCTTTTATACAATGTATATTGTAAGAATTATATAAAGCAAGGGGCTGAACCACATTTCGAAATAGGCAAATCTTCTGGATTGTAAACTTAAAGATTGAGATACAGCGATCCTTCTATACTTAAGAGGAATAGAATTGCCATTCTGGTAATTTATTAAATTTTTTAAAATTATTAAATGCTTATCAAATGCTAGGCAATGTATTTTTATCAACATCTTCTGAGGAACTACTGGACTCTAGGGCTACAGATTTGAAATTATGCCTCTGTAAATTCCCACGTCTTGTCTTCCCCCAGCCACAGTGGTTCCTGAGCACTGGTGGGCCCAAGATTTTCAGTTAAGTTTACCTCTAGATAACTGGTCACCTGGGAAATAATTTATGCATTTAACACATTTCAAACAACAATCAACCTGCTGAACATTGTTTCTGGAATTAGCAAGTTTGTAATGATGTTTCTATTTTTTTTTTTTTTGAGGTCGGAGTTTTGCTCTTGTTGCCCAGACTGGAGTGCAATGGCACTATCTCGGCTCACTGCAACCACCGCCTCCCGGGTTCAAGTGATTCTCCTGCCTCAGCCTGCGCAGTATCTGGGATTACAGTCATGCACCACCACGCCCAGCTAATTTTGTATTTTTAAAAGAGATGGGGTTTCACATTGGTCAAGTTGGTCTCGAACTCCTGACCTCAGGTGATCTGCCCACCTTGGCCTCCCAAAGTGCTGGGATTACAGGCATGAGCCACCGTGCCTGGCCGGTTTCTATTTTTATAATGCAAAAATAATAATCATGGCAATGGGAATTCAGGGATTGTATGTAGTCAGAAGGGCTAAGAAGTAGGGAGAAATGATGCCATTTTAGAGCCTGGGCAGCTGAGGCAGAGAAGAAACGAATCCATCTGTGGAGCTGACCCAGGTGCAAGCTCCCAGGATCTGCCAGTCTCAGTCGCATGGTTTCATCCTGAAAGCAGCTGCCCTTACTTAAGGGACAAAGTCTTTTAGGAGCTGCCCACAAATACTTGGAAAACAAGGCTTCAAAATCCAGAAGCAACAATGCAAATTTCAGAATGGTGCTGTGAGAAAGGAAAAATGTTAGAGTCACAGGAGTTTGCCCTTTAATTGTAAGCAAGACTTCTTGATTCTAAAAAATTTCTGTAGTTTATTCAGTTTGCTAATTCAGAAGAAAGTGTGCATTGCATGAGATCAAAGAATTGAAAATTTTAAAATGATTTGGGTTGTAGCTGGCTCCCAACTGCAGGTGAGTCACTAATCTCCAATGTTTGGATACTGTATTTGTGTTTGTTTTGAGACAGAGTCTTGCTCTGTCGCCCAGGCTGGAGTGCAGTGGTACAATCGAGGCTCACTGCAACCTCTGCTTCCTGGGCTCAAGGGATTCGTGTGTCTCAGCCTCCCTAGTAGCTGGGATTACAGGCGCCGGCCACCATGCCCAGCTAATTGTTTTTGTTTTTAGTGGAGACGGGGTTTCACCATGTTGGCCAGGCTGGTCTTGAATTCCTGACCTCAGGTGATCCACCTGCCTCAGCTTTCCAAAGTGGTGGGATTACAGGCGTGAGCCACTGTGTCCCGCCTGTTTCCTGTATGTGGATAAATCTCAGGACAAGATGAAGCTGGGACAGGCTCCTCCTACTACCAGTGACGCATGCATGCCTTTGGCTACAACAAAGGCCTTTTAAGAACTTCAATCTCCAAGTCTGGTGGGAGGCTTTGTCTTGCCTCGTCAGCCTGGAGGTTCTGTTTTGAAAGAGCAAAGCAGCAGACTGAAATTGAATGGGTTGCAAAGGAGAAACCTTTAGAGCTATAGAAAACTTTCTATCTATCGAAATAGGCCATTTCCAACAGAGGCCTGAATTTAGAAACTCCTAGAGCTGGCTGGAACTTTAGAGGATAACCACAGTGGTCCGTAACCCTCTTAGGAAGCACTGGGTTGGATACACACCCTAAGGGGAGTAGGTTGGGTTAGGAACCCTTCCAGTCACCTTTCTTTGCTCTATAGGTCATCTTATGAAGGCTAATCACCCTCCTTTTCATTCTAGATTATTGCTGTGTTGCATACACGTGACTGCAATTAAGTGTTAAATCTCACATCTGTGGAAGTTTTGGTAGCTCACTTCTGATAAGATTGGCCAGCCGGGTGCGGTGGCTCACACCTGTAATCCCAGCACTTTGGGAGGCTGAGGTGGGTGGATCATGAGGTCAGGAGTTCGAGACCAGCCTGACCAACATGGTGAAACACCGTCTCTACTAAAAATAAAAAAATTAGCTGGGCATAGTGGTGGGTGCCTGTAATCCCAGCTACTCAGGAGACTGACACAGGAGAATCGCTTGAACCTGGGAGGTGGGGGTTGCAGCGAGCTGAGATCATGCCACTGCACTCCAGCCTGGCTGGCAGAGAGCTACTCTGTCTCAAAAAAAAAAAAAAAAAAAAAATCGGCCAGAGGGCTCATGGGGAAAAAAGTCACTTGTGTGTAGTTCCCGCTCTGTGACCCACTAAAAGCTCTGCGTTTAAGGGCAGGGAAGCATGGTCCAGCCCTGTTATCCCCCAAAAGGACACATACAAAGCTCAGTTCTTGAGCTGTGCTTATGCAATACTATAGTGATCAGTAAGCTGAATGTATTTGCTTCACTTCTAACCTTTTTTAAAAGTGATCTTGAGGAATGCTTTGTTGATCTTGAATTAATAATTCAAAAAGGGGGTGGGGGAAGATGGGGTATTTCTAAGAAATGCAGAATATTTCAGTTTTGAATATTAAATCTCTTACAACTACAAACCCCTTCATAGTCTCCATCCATTCAGAAAAACAAAGCCAAAGGAGAATTTCTTGTGGAAAAAAACTAAGGAAGTTCCCCACATAACCAGCCGAAGAGGAAAGGCTTTCCCTGTCCTCTCTCAAGAGGAAGCCACAGCAGCCGTTTGTCATGTTACTGCTACCCTGGCTTTTAAAAAGTGACAGGGAGCAGGACTTTAGATTAGGACTTTGGTGGATACTCTGTATAGTTGAGTATAAAATCCCTACAATGAGTTAGACTTAGTTTCCTAGATAAATAAACGTGTCTACATAAAATTTTATATATATATTTTTTCTTCCAGTTAACAGTCTTTTCTCTTGGGTGGGTAGACCAAACCCAAGATCCAACCTTCCCCTTACTTCCCACCAAGTAGTACCAAAAACAACTTTCCCCCTCCACTAAGTCCTTAGGGAAGCAGGAAGGCTAGTGCAGCAGCTGTCAGGGATAAAGGCACAGGCAGAGCTGGGGTGACGGAGTTGTCTGGGACAGGCTACCACTGGCCCACTGGAGTCACGGAACCCTGACACCACCCTCAGCAGGGGAGGTTCCCGATCACCCTCAAGTTCTCCCATCCCATAGTTAGATCTTTTAAAGGCACATCTAGAAGTGGTGCAACTGGAGGCAGGGGTAAGCTGTACACAGTTGCCACGCAGGGGTTAAGGGGCTGCAGGACTCCATGGTACAGAGGAATGGAAGTGTCCTTGCCCTCTTCCAGACTCGGGGCAGGGGGAGACAGCGGGGAGATGGGCTCCTGGAACCCAGCCTGTTTCTGTAGAGCCCCAGAGGGGCCAACAACAGGAAAGACCAGAGTCGTGGTCAGTAGTGCACATGCTTAACAGGTCTTTGGTGCTTGGGTAGCAGCATCTCTTATGTACAAAGGCTTCTGAAGCCAGCAAAGCTGGGAAAGTCATCTCCTGCACAGTCGCGGCCTGACTCCTCTCCTGGTGCTGGCCATCGGCTACACAGGGGTGCAAAGCACAAGAAGTCAGTCTAAACTGCAGTGAAAACACAAAGATTTTAGAAAGGGTTTCCTGAAGATAGATAGATAGATAGATAGTTAAACCTTGGAAGGTTACCTTCTCTTCCCAGTTCTACTGAGGAACATCAGAAACTCAGCCCATAAGCCCTACCCAGCATGGTAGGTCTTTCTCATAGATGAGAAACTCCTAGGTTTTCTCTCCAGATATGAGTTGAGTAGTTAGTTGAGTAAAAGGAGGGGGCAAAGGTTCTGAAGGCCCAGAGAGCTGCCCACCTCACAAGCCCCTGGGCTCCAGAACCAGCCAGTTCTCAGTGACCATCTGCACATCCTGGCCACTCAGAGGCTCCCGCAGCCTCACCTTCACCTCCAGCTTCCCCCCGGTGGGCTTCCTTCCATCCAGGACCTGTGAGGACCACAGAGAGGGAAATGGTAACTAAGGGGACAGAGATGGGGAGCAGGCAGGTCCCTACATTCCCAGGAAAGAAGTGAGAGGAGCTAAGATGTCCTGTGGCATGAACACAGGAATCTCCATTCATGAAAACCCTACCCTCCCAGTATTTGGAGGAGGAGGTGGTGGTGGTTTTAGGTGAGTCTTATTAAAAAAGTAATAAATAAATCCAGACAAGCATCCTAGAGCTCTGTTCATTTTCTCCTCAATCCCCACGGCAACTTCTGGAAGAAACATTGGCTTGAAGAAGCAGCCTTCCACTGACCCAAACCCTCACTTCACAGATGGCCAAGAGAGAGAAGCAGATGACTCTATGTGGCAGAGTCAGCACTGGAACCCCAAACCCAGGGTTCCTTCCCATTCACCACGCTACTCCCTCTTTTGGGCAGAAGATGAGGCAGTCAATTAGGGCACAAAGCAGTACAATAGGCCCAAGAAGTCCAACCACCCTCAGTGGCTCCAATAGAGACCAGGGCCCGCATAAGAACAACTTCCCCAGGCAGGCAGTAGGGCCAGGTGTGCTACAGTGGGAAGAGCCCCAGCCTACATAGGTTATCAGTAAGGAGCTGGTCGTAGCTCTGCCAAGGACACACCATATGAGCTTACAGAACCCCCTTTCCTCTCGGACCTGAGTTTCCTCATTTGTCAGAGGCAAGGTCGTATAGTCCTTGCCTGTGGAATCCATTGAGTTCATGGAAACAAGGAGGCTGCCTTCTCCTGGGTCCCTCTGTGAGATTTCTCAGACCTTCTGAACCTCTCCATCTGTGAAATGAGGATTCCACCTACTCTAAGCACACTTGTGGAGAATTTCAAATTAAGTAATGAGCACGAAAACCTACAACAAGGTGTGGCATTCAGTGCGTATTGGCTCTTGTCGTACCAACCCCTTTGGCTTGCCCACACCCCAGCCCCTACCTCCACAATTTCTCTGATCTCACACTCATTCTCCAGCCGCTCCAGTTTCAGGTGTGCTGTGCCAACCAGCTTGTCGCTTCTGAAGAAGGACCTGGGGAGTCAAGAGGCAGCAGAGGATTGGACTGGGCAGGGAAGGCAGGAATGTGCTGGCTGAGCCCATGCAGGGGCAGCAGTGACAAACGCTCTTCCCTCCTCCCGGCCCGTGTGGCAGCATGACCGATAGGAGCCTCACCCTTTGTGGAAGATCTCAAACTTGATGCCTTTGCTCTGGATCACCCTCTTGAAGCCCCGGTGGTTTCGGTTGATGTTTAGTTTGAAGAGTTGATCAAATTCTGGCAAAGGGGGAGAAAGCAAGGAGGGGCTTGGCTCTCGGGATTTCCTGAGGAAGTGGAAATGGAGGCCCAGGGCTGGCTGCCTTCCCCCAATCTCTCCACCTGCATTTTGGGGTACTGCCTCCAAAGGGTGGTAGAGCATCGCGGTCCTGGCCTTGGAAGTGAGTTTTTGTACTCTTTTTAGTCATAGATTGTAACAAAGTAGGAAAGACTTGGAATTGGGATACAGAATTCCTGTGTTCATATCCCATTTCTACCACTTCCTTGCCATGAGGCCCCAGGCAAGTCCCTGTACCTCTCTGCGTGTTTCTCCAACTACAGAAGAAGCATGTTAACAGCACCTTTATCTCCCAAGTGGGGTGGATCAAGTAAGGGCATAGATGGGAACCCACTCTGGAAACACCAGTGCTGCCCACACACTCTGAGGGAGGAGAAAGAGGCCCACGTGTGGCCCTCACCTGGAGAGTTTGTGTTCTTCACCACAGCTGTTTTGCTTTTTTGAGCCTGGTCCTAAGCAGTGAGGAGGGAGAAGTCAGGACAGCGTATAAACAAAGAGGCACACAGGGCAGGCACTGCAGCCACACCTCCCAGGGATGGGAAGAAAGTGAGCACAGGGTCCTGGAATGCAAGGCGGGTTTCAGAGGATCCTACTTCTACCTGAACCTCACCGAGTTAGGGTAGTGAAACTCAAACCGCACAAAAGCATCCAGGTCATCGGGAGTCACCCCTGGGAAGGAGAAAAGGGAGTCAAGTCAGAGGGAGTGGCCAGGAGCCTAGCACTTGGAGTGTCCGGGCAAGAGCCTCCTGGAGTAGGGGCGGCCCTAGGGTTACCTGGAGGGGCTGGGAGGTTCATTCCCCGGACAATGATCAGATGCATTTCTGTGCTGTTGAGTTCTGAGAAGATCCTAGAGCCAAGCGGGAAGGAGAAAATGCTCAAAAGTGAAGGACAGTAGTGGAACAAGGTCCCTTCGTCCAGGGCCTGTCTGCCCAGCTGGGTGGTGACGGGAGGGAAGGCAGAGCTGGTATGCAGACCTTGATCTCTGACTTCTGGTCCAGAGCTCTTTCCACAGCACCCAGACAGCTGTGCGCTCTCCACTAGCATGCACCCTGTCGTCCTCAGCAGCCCCAGTGCCCACAGCGGGGCCAGGCTTGGGAAGCCTCACTAAAGGGGTAGCAGTCTCTGGCCTGGGCTCCCAGCCTCCTGCCCCTCCCTGCCTGGAGCCCCTGTTTCCCTAGGCCTTGGTACCTCACAGTCTGGAATGTCTTCAACTCAAAGTGGTGGGTGGGAGGGTCGAGGCCCTGAGCCTGGGCCAGCTGCAGGATCTCCAGCTGTTTCTTGCGGTCCTGAGCAAGCTTCTCAAATCTGACAGGGATGGGTATGTCAGCATGATGGTGGATTTTCTGCTCCCCACCCTATGAGCCCAGCCCCAGCCCTTGCACTTACCGGGTGGTCTCAGCCACGTTGCCCTGGTGCATGAACTGCTTGGAGAACAGCAGGCACTTCTGAAAATAGAGGCCCAGAGTGACTCCCGAGCCCAGAGCAGGACCTGCCTTGGTTGGCATTCAAGGCTAGACTTCTCAAAGCTTCAACTTTCCTCTGTAGCCTCACCTCTCTCCTCCCACAACACAGCCCCAAGGGCACTACTCCCAAGTCCCACCACGTTTCTCTGCCTACACTTTTGTCATTTTCTCTTCTGAGGAGAGCCATTCCCCAAATTAGCAACTCCTTCCATCAAAACCTAACTCAAACATCCCCTCAGAAGGCAGCCTTTCCAGAACAGGTGGCAGTTCAGATAGATAAATACATAAACATACACGCACATCACAATGTTCTTTCCCTCTTCTCTGTTGTTTGTACCACCCTGAAAGGGGTATTATCACCCCATCTCATAGATGAGGAAAATGTAGTTCAGAGAAGAAAGTGCCTTGCCCAAGTCACACAGTGAGTAAGTGGAAGAGCTGAGAATTTTGAGTCCAGGGCTGTGTGGTCTGAGCTCCAGGTCTTCCTCCACGGGGAGGCTGTGGGCACAGAGGGGAGGAACAGACGAGGGGCCTGCTGACCTCTTGTTGCTCCAGAAGCATTTTTTGCAGCTGGGCATACACCTCCTCCGCCTTCTGGGAGAGTCGCAGGTCCTCATGGTGGATGAGGATGAAGTCACCCTCCTCATCCGTCAAGGGCGAAGGCACCTACCCAGGTCACAAGGCCCCTCGGGCCCCAAGAGTCAGATTACTCCTCTACCAAGTCCAACAAAGGCAGGAGCCCAAACTAAGTAATTCTTCAGCTTCTACTAAAGTCCAGTGATGACAACTCATCGCCTCCCATTCTATCCCAAAATAACACTCTTGCCTCCCATGGCCTGGCCCAGCCTTGTCATCTCTGACCACAGGCAGCCCACCTTCCCTTCTCCTGGTTTCCTTTGGGGCCGTGAGGTAGAGGAGTATGAGCAAAAGGCTCTTTCCCAGCTGTCATCATGCTCTGTCCAAACCCTGCCTCATCCCAGAAGCTGCCCTTGTTCACAGCCTGTCAAGCCTGCCAGCCGCCACCTCCGCCTGAGAAGTCCTGGTGGTTAACCAGGTGGGACTCACCTTGGACAGATCAACAGGTCTGCCAGATCGGGCCTGGATGATCTGAGCCTCAAGCCATTTGGCTACCCGCAGATAGGCTTTGGCCTGCTCCAGGTCCTGGCTGCGCTTGGCCTGCAGGGCTGCCCGCTGATACTGCAGTTTCCGTGCCTCCAGCAGTGCCAGCTGCTCCCGCACTGAAGGGAGAAGGCCACTGGTTAGGGCCACACCTGCCCTCTCTAGGCCCTCAGTTCTTCACCCTGCTTGTCCCCAACTCACCAGATGGACTCGGTGACTCCTTAGAACTTGAGGCCCTGGGCTCAGGCAGGCGCTGGGATGAAGGGACTGTGGGCCGTGCAGGTTTCTTGGCCACTGGGGCCTGTGCTGGGGGCTCACCCTGCAGGTGCCCAGGAGGCTGTTAGGAGGGGATGTGTTCCCTAGCATAGTCATGGCGGCTCCCAGACTTGGGCTGTCTTCCTAACACTGTACTACATCGCTGTGTGACCTGAGATGGGTGGCTTCTCTTCCTGGGTCCTAAAAGATCTGAGAGCTAGAAGCAGCCTCAGAAGCTCTCACATCTAACCTCCCCAGCAGGAGAGAGACTGCAGGGTAATGGGGATGGAGCCGGGGCTCTGGGTTCAGAAAGACCTTGGTTTGAATCCTAGTTCTGCTATTTCCTAGCTGGGTGTCCTTGGGCAAGTTTTTTCTCTGTACAGTGGAGGAAAGAATATGTACCTTATTGGGCTTGTTAGTATGGACAACAGGGTCTGGGTTTACCCCTCACCTGCTATTCTCCCCACCAGCCCTGGAGTTGAGCCCTCAACCAAACCTCGTCCTCGTCTTTATCAGCCGGGGCTGAATCCTCTGCAGAGGCCAGTTTCTCTGCAGCTGCCAATGTCGCTGCCACTGCGTCCTCCTCAACACCCATAGTGGACTCCAGGCCAGGGATGGGGGGAAATCCTGTGGGAGAGAGACAGCATGGGAGGGGCAGGGAGCAGCCTCAGAGAAGCACAAAGCTACCCGGGGCCCTGTCTGGGGCATGGCTCTGCTGGGGCATGGCTGGGATGGATGGCTCCACAGAGGGGAGGCAGACGCATGAGAAGTGGGAATCACTGGCTGTCCCCCATTCCCTTCTTGCCCAGGGACCACCTCCTCACAGAGCCCCTAGGCCATGCCCCACTTACCTGGAGGAACAGGCAATTCAGCAAAGTTGACTTTCCGTCCTGCTCGGTGTGCTCGAATAGCATCTTGATATTGCTGCAAGGGAAGGAAGGGAGGGGCCTGTGGTCGGCAGCAGCCCACAGGCCCCCTGCCCAACATGACACACAGTGGGGCAAGGAGAGGGAGACTGGTGGGAAGACAGCAGCCCTGGGAGAAAAAAAGATCCCTAAGGCAGCAAGAGCCCCAGAGAGACAAACAGATGATGGTTCAGAAAAGACAAGGACTAGCCGGAGGACCAGGGAGACAGAGCACCCAGCCAGGGAAGAGGCCAGCACAGGCAGGGGCTGCATAGCCGCGGGCCCACCTTGGCAATGCGCTCATGCATCCGAGCCTTGCGCTCGTCCCCACCACTCCGGGCCTGGATGCCCGCCTCGCGGTACTTGTTCAGCCTCTGCTGCAGGGCATCCAGCACTGTCTGTGACTCTGTAGGGGCCACTTGAAGGAAAGAAGGAAGAAGTGGGCATCAGGTCAGCCTGCCCTCCAATGCCTGCAGGTCCCCACGCCACAGTCCCACCATCCTGCCCTACCTGGGGTTGCTGGGACGTCAGGGGCCATCACTGGCTGCACTCGCTCCACGGCTGGGGGAATGACTGAGGGTGCTGTGGGAGCCTGAGAAGCCTGCTGGGGCTTCAGATCTGGGGGACCCAGAGTAGAGGTGTAGGTGGGAGGGCCTGGCCAGCCCCAGGCCTGCTACTCCTCCCCAACCCCACCGCAGCCTGAGAAGATACATACTGACCCTCAGGTGCCGGGGGCATGGCACTCAGATCCACGGGCTGCCCCTTCTCCAGGGCCTCCAGGACAGCACCGAATCTCTGCAGAAGTTGGAAAAGCAGGTGTGGGTGAAAGACAGGGGACCCCAAGAGCCTGGGCTGAAACAACCCCCACTTAGGCCAATCTCACTCAATCTCAGTCTAGCTCCCTTTCTGAGCCTGTTTCCCCTATCTATAAAATGAGGGTGGGTGCCCTGAGCCAGATGCCATACCTTCCCAATCCTCATGAGCTCTCGGGCACGGTCTAGCTCTCCAGCCCGCTTGGCACTGAGGGCAGCCACTTTGTACTCTCTCTGTCGGGATGACAGCAGGGCCCGCGGGTCTGGGTCTAAGTCTGAAACGGGCTGGGCAGAAATGCCAGGGAGGCTGGTCTCAGGTTGGGAGGGGTTGTCTATAAGGAAACAAACAGTCCCCAGAGAGCACATGAGGGTCACAGAAGAAGGTGCCCACGGACTTCACTGGCTTGAGGATGTCCTGGGGAGGATGTGACCAATGGTAATGAACAGTGGTGGCAGGCTGGGGACACACGCTGTGGGCTATGACCCCAGGAACTAGAACAGGATTTGGGCATCTGCAGATACCTGACTCCAAGGCAGGGGGAGCTGGAGGGTCTGTCTCAGGGCTCCTGTTGGCTGGTTCCTGGGGGGCCAGGGGCCGCTTTCCTAAGGCCACTGGAGGTGGGATCTCATCCTCATTGATCTTTCTGCCTCTCCTCACAGAGGCTAGCTGCGACTCCAAGGTCTGAGGGAGAGAACTGGTCCAGAAACCCAGCCAGCCATCTCAGCCCAGACCCTGCTCCAAGACAGGCCAGGGGTGGCCCCCCAACCCCCAAAGTCTGGTGGGGTGACCTCCCCTCCACTGGTGCGATCTCCACCAGCCGCCTTTCATGCAGCCCCCTCCCCTGCCCTGCTCCCAGCCTAGCCCGACTCACCTTCAGGCCGCGCTCGCAGCGCCTGGCTTTGGCTGCTTCGCCTGCCTCCTTGGCACTGGCCGCAGCCTCTCGGTAGTTGTGAATCCGTTCCTCCAGCAAAGCGTGTAGCCCCTGAGATGCTCCGGCCTATGAACAATTCAGCTAAGGGCCTGGCCACTCCAGGGCCTGCTAGGCCTACCATTCTCCCTCTGCGGAAGCTGCCCTAGAAGATGGAGCTCTGGGACTCCAGGAGAAAGAAGAGCCTAAAAGCCTTAAGGCAGGAAGCAAAGGCTCACTGGAGAGGCCAGAGGCCATGGCAGAGGCAAATACAGAGCCCCACTTGGTGGAAGCCAGGATATGGCTCCCGGGGGGTAGTCTAGGAGAACAGAGAGGCCTTTGAGGCTGGCTGCCACGGAGGAGTTTCTTGTGCTCAGTTTCTGCTTGGGGCGGCTGCTGGGGGAGGGTCCTGGAAAGGGTGACTGCAGCCTTGCTGTGCAGGCCAGGCCACACACGTGTTACGTCTGGGCGCACAGGAGCATCAGAGGCACAGGGGCCCTCCTCCAGAACCCACCTGAGCTGCTGGGGCTGAAGCTGTCAGGACGGCTGTCTGCACTGGAGGTTCAGTGTCTTCTAGGCCGTTCTCCTCCTCAGAGCCGCCTGGGTCAGCTACCTCATCACCATCCAGGGGCTCAGTCTCCTCGTCCACACCTAAGACCTCCTGCAGCTCCGTCTAGGGAGACAAAACACAGCCCAGGAGCTTGGGGGCCTCAAGACCATACCCACAACAGGACCTGAGAGTAAAGGACCCTCTCTCTCAGCAATATTCCCTAACGTCAGTCACTGTGCCTGAGTCCCCTTCACCAAAACATTTCTTTAATCTGACCGAGGATAGCCTTGAAAATAGTAATTACTCCAAATCTGAGAATCCCCAACTGCAGAGCTTAGACCAGAAGTCAAAGAGACACGCCACCCACTGTACAGCCAGGAGGGGCAAGCACTCACTCAGAGTCAGAGAATACAGGGGCACCCCCAGCCTCCTCTCCACTGCCCTCTCCTCCACCAGGCCCAAGCTTGCCTCAGAGCCCTGGGATACCAGCCTGGCAGACACACCAGCAGCTCTGCATCTTCCTCCAGCCCTTCCTCCTCCTCCTCCTCCTCCACATCCCGCATACAGTCTGCCGCCAACTTCTCGATGTGGGCCATGGGCAGGGGGGCTGGGGGAAAAAGGTCACAACAAGTCAGCACAACTCAGATAAGTTCAGGGATGAGTAAAGGAGGGGCTTGGTAGATCCACCCAGGCAGAAATCCCTCTTCCCTCCCACAGCAGAGTCCCACCTGGAAAACTGCTCTTCCTTTAAGACCCAGTTCAAAAGACCCTCAACAGGGAAACCTTCCTTGGCCCCCCACCAAGCAACAAGCTGCTCCTTTCTCTGCACCTCTGCCTACGGTAGCCTGACATAGACATGGCCATCCACTCTCTCCAACCTCCAACAACACCTTTCACATCTGTAAAGATTTTCAAAGTCCAACAGAGCTTCAAAACAAATCTGCAAGATGGATAATATCCCCTTTTCATATATTGAATAAACTGAGAAACTTCCAACATTAATTTTCCTATCACTGCAATCCTTAAGTGGCAGAGCTAGGATTCAAACCTAGGCTTGTGCCACCCCAAGGCAGGAGCAGTGAGCCCCTTCCTAGGTCCTCCCATTATCCTCAACTCAGGGACACACAGGATGGTGGGGGATGAGTGGGGGGATTCTCTGAGGGTTCCCGGTGAAAAGAGAGGACGATTTAGACCTCCTGATCCTCCCAGGCCTGAAGTCTCTGTTCTCATCTGGGCTGTGGAGGGAGATTCCACTTAACTCGCTGGACACAATTTCTATGTACTTCCTATGTACCCAGTTCAGTCTGTGCTAACTGGGCCCCTACCCTACACCAATACCGTGGCTAGGGCTAAGGATGGGGACCTGAGTCAGTCTGAGAAACACATTTGTCCACAATGGGGAGGGGCCAGCCCAGGCCATGACACAAGGTGGGGAAGCAGGGCGAGGCCGCCTCTTGGTGGGAGTGCGGCAGATGGGTATTGGAAGGACCAGGGGATCTGGCTGGCTCCGTCCAGCTGCAAGGGAACCCCTCTACCACCAGCCTGTGCCCATCTTGTCCCAGCACCAAGACCAGCCCTGTGTCCAAACTCACCCTGCCCCTTGGGTGCTGGCTTCTTGCCTGTGGTTTGTGCTTCCCCTGTGAGAGCCAGCAGCTCAGCCTCCAGGTCCTCATCATCTTCAGCCTCATCCATGCCCAGCAGCATGTCCTCAGGGCCAAACTCCATAAAGAGCCCCATCTGAGAGCAGAGCAGGACTCTTAGGAACCACACAACAAGCAGGGTAGGGTCCAGCTCCAGAGCCAGACTTGGGGCTCTCCAAGTCCCAATCAGTGGCTCCTTCAGTCTGTGAGGCCCAATGTGCAGAAAGAAACTGAGGCCTGCAACATTACTCCTTGAGACACTTACCTTCCTAGGGACTCAACAAAAAACCCAGTAAGACCACACTGAAACTGAGACAGTCTTGTGAGTCAGAATTTAAAACACACTACCATTATTACAACCAACAGCAATAGCTGCCATCATGCACTGTTCTTAGCGTTCTATGTGATTATCTTAACCACCTCAGTTAATTCTCACAATTCTGAGAAGAAGGTCCTATTTTTTGGCCAGGCGCGGTGGCTCACGCCTGTAATCCCAGCACTTTGGGAGGCCGAGGCGGGTGGATCACGAGGTCAGGAGATGGAGACCATCCTGGCTAACACGGTGAAACCCCGTCTCTACTAAAAAATGCAAAAAATTAGCCGGGCGCGGTGGCGGGCGCCTGTAGTCCCAGCTACTCGGGAGGCTGAGGCAGGAGAATGGCGTGAACCCGGGAGATGGAGCTTGCAGTGAGCCAAGATGGCGCCACTGCACTCCAGCCTGGGCGACACAGCGAGACTCCGTCTCAAAAAAAAAAAAAAAAAAGAAGGTCCTATTTTTTTAAACTCTGGTAAAACACATACAACATGAAATTTACCATCTTAACCACTGTTAAGGGTGAGTTCAATGGCATAAGGACATTCACAATATCCTGCTACCATCGCCATCATCCATCCACAGAACTGTTTTCATGTTGTGAAACAAACTTTCTACCCATTAAACATTAACCCCCCTTCCTCCCCTCCTTCCAGCCTCTGGTAAGCACCATTCTTCTGTTTCCATGAATATGACTACTCTAGGTAGAGGTACATCCTTTTTTTTTTTTTTTTCTGAGACAGAGTCTGGCTCTGTCGCCCAGGCTAGAGTGCAGTGGCACTATCTTGGCTCACTGCAACCTCTGCCTCCCGGGTCTAAGCGATTCTCCTGCCTCAGCCTCCCAAGAAGCTGGGAATACAGGCACATGCCACCACGCCCAGCTAATTTTTGTATTTTTAGTAGAGATGGGGTTTCACTATGTTGGCCAGGCTGGTCTCAAACTCCTGACCTCAGGTGATCCACCCACCTCGGCCTCCCAAAGTGCTGGGATTACAGGCGTGATCCACGGCACCCAGCTTACATTCTGTTTTTATCCCAATGTTCAGATGAAACTGAGACAGTCTTGTGAGACAATCAGAATTTAAAACAAGCTCTTTGCGACTTGAGTCTATGCCCTTTACCCCACCTCCTTTCTTACCTGCCTTTTTAAAGACAGTAAAAATGGACTAAGAAGTCTCAAGATGTAGGCCCAGAAGAAATAAAGGAAGAAAATTGGAGAGGAGACCCCCCTGTTCTTCCACTTGGGGCACAGCCATCTGTCCCTAGGCAGTGAAGTCCTCCCACTGACTACAGCCCTCATGCCCTGGCATCCCTGGCTAACAAGCAAAGTTGTGACCCTATCTAAGGAACCTTTGAGAGCACTGAGGTCCCATCAGAACATCCTAAACTTTGGTGATTCCTGAACCCTCTCCCCACTTGTATGTGGAAGAGACTAGTAGGAGGGTGTCTAAGGGCTCTGCCACCTCCAGGAGGCACTGCTCCAAGTCTCTGAACTAATGGGGGAACTACATGTGATCCAGTTTGCCTAAGTTGTCTAGGGACCCCCATCCCCAAACCGACCCAGTAGCCTAGAAGGCTAAGTTCCATACCTGCTTGGCAGCGGCCACCCCTTGGCCTCTGGCCTGAGGGCCCTTCCGAGGTCTTGGCCCTGGCATCATGGCAGCCTAGATACCTATGGAAGAGTTACAGAGATTCAGGCTGGAGTAGCCCATAAGCCACGCCCCCAACAGTGCTACCCGTGGTAAGGTGTGGATAGTAAACTCCCAAAGAAGGCAATGCTGAACACCAAAGTATGGGTTACCTTTAATTAAAGCACTGAAGCAGCACAGGCCATGGGAGGGATGGGGATCACCTGTTAATGGGTTTACTGAGGAATGTTCTGAACGGACTCAAATTTAAAAAGCACATTCAGGGAAGTACTCTAGGTTCAGGGTGGGTGGAAGGCTGGGTAGAATTCAGAAAGGCTCTAAAGCTGTGCTTATGGAAGCCACAGCTGGCTATTTAATTTTAAATTTCAATGAATTAAAATGAAATAAAGCTAAAAATCCAGTCCATCAGCCACAACAGACACATTCCAAGTGCTTAACAGCCATATGTGGTGAGGGGCTATGACCAGACAGCACACACACAGAACATTTTCATCATCCAAGGACATGTCATCAAAGTTCCATCTCACAGCTGAGCTCTGGAGAAAGCTGGCTCAGCATTCTGATTCCCATAAAGATCTCACAGTTATTCACAGGACCTCCTGTGTCAGACCTTGCGCTGGGCACTGGGAGCGCAGAAATGAACCTAAGACGGTCTCAGCCTTCAATGACCATTTACAGGGTGGAGGTGGACTACACGGGGTTGCCCCAGGGGCCATGGGTGCCCTGAGGTGACCCCTTCTTCAGCCCTGGGAGAAAAGGCTCCTCCTTCGAGGCGGTGACGCCTGAGCTGAGTCACGCAAAGAAGTTGGGGGAAAGAGGGAAATAGGATTCCAAGACGAGGGAACACTTGACGGCTCTGAAGTGGGGAGCAGCTTGGCCTGTACAATGGAACCTGAGGCCTGGTATGACTGGGGCATAAGCGGTGAGGCCTGAATGCACAAGCCGAGGTGGAAATGTGAGCAAGCGGCAGAATATGAAAACCTCTAAGCCGAAAAGCGTTTGGGCATTATTCTGAGGGCGCTGGGAAAGAAGTGGCGGGATCGTATCGGTGTTTCAGAAACCCCATTCTGGCACCAAAGGGGAGGTGCACAGAAGGTAGGGGGAAAAGGCAGGAAGCCGGCGCATCTCGCCACAGCGCTGGCGGGGAGACCAGCTGACGGGCGTGGAGGCGGCGGGGAGCGGGCGGAGGAGCTGGCGGGCGCTCCGGGGGACTCTGAGTGTCAGATTTCGGGAGTGACTCCGGCTCAGGTGAAAGCGAGGCCAGACACTCCAAGGCTGCGGCCCCGATGACACAGCCAGGCCTCACGGAAGGTGGGCAACGGAGTCCGTAGGGGGAGGCGACACGGGACCCCCACTCCCGCGCTGCGGGACGCGCCGCCCTGCCCCGCCCGCGCCGCCTCCATCTACCCCCGCGGTCCCCAGAACTCCCCACGCCGAGGGGCGGGGACGCGGCATACCTCGCGGTGAATCCGAGCCAAACCCCGGCCTTGTCTCACCCGGCACCGCCCTGGGCTCCCGCGGGCCCTGGGCCGCAGCGGTAGCGACAGGAAGCGCCAGCAGGGGAGGTGGCTCGCGCGCAACACGTGACCCCACTGGCCGGCGGCCGGCAGTGCGCATGTGCACGGCTACGCGGGCGGGGGGCTCCAACAGGTGACACCGGGGCGGGGTTCGCAGCGCGCAGGCGCGTTCGGGTAGGTAGCGCAGGACAGGAACTCTGGGCGGTTCCGCCGGGGCGTCCACCGGCCGGCTCCAATGAGGTCGCTGCGCCCAGCCCTCGCCCACTTGCAGCCTCTCCACCGAACCTCCTCCCTCACTCAGCCCGAGGCGCTGGGCGCTCGCTCGCTCGCTGGACCTACCCCGCCTCCAGCCCTCGCCCCGCCCCACCGAGCAAGAGGGCGGGGCCTACCCAAGCTCCGCCCTGGAAGAGAGACAGGGGCGGGGCTCACCTGCTTGTCCATGTCCTTTAAGCCTGGGGAAATGGAAATGGGGCCCACCATATGTTTCTTAATAATTCAGCACCTGAAAGTATCCTTTTCCGGTCCGTTGAAAACTTCAGACAGGCAGAGCTCGCTGCACATCTTAAATACTTTACAGAGTCTAACACTAAGTTCTCACTCGCCTACCCTGCTGTGCAATCAAATGGCATGGAGGATATTAAGGAGAGAAACGGAGTATACCCGTTTTCTGCCAAGCTTGTGTCAGTCACTTTTCATAATGGAGCTTATACCAGTTCTCAATCCTGCAAGATGGACATCATCTCTAGAAGAAACGGAGGCTCAGAGAGAATTATTTGCCCAGGGAAATACAAAACCAACCTCTTTAGCATCAGTAAATATGCTCTAGTCTAGTTTTCTAAGGAAAGCACGTTTCTCCCTGCGGCTTGCAGAGTCCAGTTAACAAGAGATTGAGCTCAGGAGTCCGAGACCAGCCTGGGCAACATGGCGAAACCCTGTCTCTACAAAAAATTACAAATATTAGCCGGGTGTGGTGGTGCGTGCCTGTAGTCCTACCTACTGAGAGGCCGAGGCAGGAGAATCGCTGTGGCCCCGGAGGTCCAAGCTGCAATGAGCTGTCAACTGCACTCCAACCCGGGT
Organism: Homo sapiens; assembly: GCF_000001405.40. Classification (NCBI taxonomy): domain Eukaryota; kingdom Metazoa; phylum Chordata; class Mammalia; order Primates; family Hominidae; genus Homo; species Homo sapiens. Next base: position 52,367,206 of record NC_000001.11, read on the forward strand.
GACAAGGTGAGACCCTGTCTCAAACTAAAACAAACAAAAAAACCGAGAGCGGAGTAATGGGGAAGTGGCCAGATTCCCATCTAAAGTAACCACTTCGATTTTGGGGGGAAAGAGAACGGCTTAAAAGGAAAATTTGATATGGGAAGCATGCAAGAATTGTACAGAGTACAACGTCTGTGTGTCTTGTTCTGGTGGCTATCTTGGGTCCCAGCCTACCTGGAGCGTGGGCTGGTCTCATCTCCACAATGGCCCCGCTGTTGACTAGCCACCTTGAAGTAATCTTTGGAATTTTGCAGCTGTGTCTCCAGGCTTGGTTTGTCTGTCTCAAGATTAGCCCTTGGAACTTCTCAGAAGGCAGATAATTAAATACTAGCATACAGTAAGATAAATGTGAAGGGAGTATATACAGTGAGAAAGGGAGGGATATGGGGTCTATTTTACAGCTAAGGGAAAAGGCTTTTGCAGTTTGCTTCAAGGTTGTATCTTGAAACCCAAGAGAAAGGAAAAAAAGTTTTAAAATGTATTTTAAAGTTAAACTGCTGGATTAGTTTCTTCTGTCTAAAACATTGCCATCTCCTCTCCTGCCTATGCCTTGAACTTTTAAATTATGTTTTCTAGTTAGCGATCTCCCAGTTTACTTGGACAAAGGGCTTTTCCATCTCCTGATTGCTTACTTTTTTTCTTTTTTTTTTTTTTGAGACAGGATCTCATTCTGTCACCCAGGCTAGAGTGCAGTGGTGCGATCTCCACTCACTGCAACCTGCACCTCCCAGGCTCAAGCAATCCTCTCACCTCAGCCTCTTGAGTAGCTGGGACCACAGGCACGTGCCACCATGCCCAGCATTTTTTTTTTTTTTTTTGTAGAAACATGTTTTTGCTATGTGCCCAGGCTGATCTCAAACTCCTGAGCTCAGGGGATCAACCCACATCAGCCTCCCAAAGTGCTGGGATTACAGGCGTGAGCCACCATGCCCTGCCCATTACCATATTTAAATTGAGATTTCACATCCATATTTCTCATTCCTTTTAAAATTATTTAAAAATTTTTATAATGAAACATTTAAGATATAAACAAAGATACACAATATTTAACATTTACTAGAATGCAAGCTCCAGAAGGAGAAATTTTTTTATTGCTTCTCCAAGTGTCTCGTGTCTACAGCAGTGCATGGTACATAGTAGGCACTCAATAGTTCCTTGTTGTGTGAATTAACTACATGGACATCTATTACCAGTTTAAGGGAAAAAAAAAAGCAGGTGAGCGGGCGCGTCCCCGCGACCGCGCTGCCTCCCCGAGGCGGTTCACGTAAAGCCAGCGAGGCCCTGCCTGCCAGCCGGGAAGGAGGCGTGGTTATGGAGCTGGCGGCTGCAACCCCGGGGCCCGCGCCGCTGCCTAGCGCTTCCCGGGGGCTCTTTGGGGACGCGCCCCCCGCCGCGGCTCGGGGACCCGTAGAGCCCGGCGCTGCGCGGTTGGCCCTTCTCCCGCGCCCCGCGCTCACCCTCCTGCTCCTCCTCATGGCCGCTGTTATCAGGTGCCTGGAGCAGGCCTAGACCACCGACTGGAGGGCCACCCTGAAGACCATCCGGAACGGCGTTCATAAGATAGACACGTACCTGAACGCCGCCTTGGACCTCCTGGGAGGCGAGGACGGTCTCTGCCAGTATAAATGCAGTGACGGATCTAAGCCTTTCCCACGTTATGGTTATAAACCCTCCCCACCGAATGGATGTGGCTCTCCACTGTTTGGCGTTCATCTTAACATTGGTATCCCTTCCCTGACAAAGTGTTGCAACTAACACGACAGGTGCTATGAGAACTGTGGCAAAAGCAAGAATGACTGTGATGAGAAATTCCAGTATTGCCTCTCCAAGATCTGCCGAGAAGTACAGAAAACACTAGGACTAACTTAGCATGTTCAGGCATGTGAAACAACAATGGAGCTCTTGTTTGACAGTGTTATACATTTAGGTTGTAAACCATATCTGGACAGCCAACGAGCCACATGCAGGTGTCATTATGAAGAAAAAACCGATATTTAAAGGAGATGCTGACAGCTGGTGACAGATGAAGACGGAAGAACATAACCTTTGACAAATAACTAATGTTTTTACAACATAAAACTATCTGATTTTTGTGAAAAAAGAAAAACAAACATAGTTGGAGCTACCTGTACATCTCCCATATTGCAACACCTCCCTTTCCCAAAGATGTACCCATTATCCTAAATTTAGTGTTTATTATTCCTGAGCATTTCTATTTCTGTGTAGGTATCCTTAAGCAATACATAGTATTTTTTTTGCCAGCTTTTAAAAATTATATCATTGGTTACATACAGTGTAATTCTTCAACCTTTTTCTACTCAACCCTGTTTGTAAGCTTCACTCAAATTGACATGTATACTGTATCTAGTTAGCTGATTTTCATTTCTGTTATGATTCCATAGCATGAAAATAAGTCACTTTCCCAATGGCTTACCATTATAGAGTGCTATGAACTTTTTGTATATGACTCTTGGTGTACGTATGTGAATTTCTCTAGAGCATATACTTAGGAATGGAATTGCTGGCTGCATTAGTCAGGTTTCTCTAGAGGAACAGAACTAATAGGATATATATATATATATATGTGTGTGTGTGTGTGTATATATATATGTGTGTGTGTGTGTATATATATGTGTGTATATATATATATGTGTATATATATATATAGTCCCACAATAGGCTGTCTGCATGCTCTATTAACCATCACACTGGCTGATATGGTTTGGCTCTGTGTTCCCACCCAAATCTCATCTTGAATAGTAATCCCATAATCCCCATGTGTCCTGGGAGGCATCTTGTGGGAGGTAATTGAATCATGGTTTCCTTCATGCTGTTCTTGTGATAGGAGTGAGTTCTCACGAGATCTGATGGTTTTATAAGCATCTGGCATTTCCCCTGCTGGCACTCATTCTCTCTCCTGCTGCCCTGTGAAGAGGTGCCTTTCACCATGATTTTAAGTTTCCTGAGGGCTCCCCAGCCATGTGGAACTGTGAGTCAATTAAACCTCTTTTCTTTATAAATTACGCAGTCTCAGGTATTTCTTCATAGCGCGAGGACAGACTAATACACTGGCTCATACAATTTCTTGCATTTCCTAGGCTAAGATTCACCAAATAATCTTCAAAAGTCATTCCACCTCCATCAGCAGGGTATTGGGGTCCCAGTTGTTCTGTGTAACCATAGAAAGGTTTTCTAATAGATGTGAAATGGTTTTGGTTTGCATGCCTCTTTTACTGTTTCCATTTTCTTGGTCATTCGTGTTTCTTCTTTGGATGACTTATTTGTTATTTACCCATTTTTTTCTTTTTCCTTCTTTTTTTTTTCTGAGACAGTCTTGCTCTGTTGCCCAGGCTGGAATGCAGTGGCACAATCTTGGCTCACTGCAACCTCTGCCTCCTGGGTTCAAGCAATTCTTTTGCCTCAGCACCCCTGTAGCTGAGATTACAGGTGCACACCATCACCCCTGGCTAATTTTTGTATTTTTAGTAGAGATGGGGCTTCACCATGTTGGCCGAGCTGGTCTCGAATTCCTGACCTCAGGTGATCTACCTGCCTTGGCCTCCCAAAATGCTGGGATTACAGGTATGAACCACTGTGCCTGGCTCATTTTTTCTTTTTCATTGCAGTTTTAAAAATATTGATATTGATCCTCAATCCATTATATGTAATTATAAATACATATGTGAATATAGAAATACATATTTTTGCTAAATGATTTGAGAATGAGTTGCAGACATAATACATCACTTATAAATATTTCATTATGAATCTCCTAAGAACAGCATTCTCCTACATAATCACAAATTTATCACGCTCGGGGAATTTAACACTTACAAAATACTTCTGTCTAATACATAGTTAATAATGTTTATAATTGTTTATATTTCCTAAATCCAGGACCCAGTCAAGGTTTATATAGTGCATTTAGCTCTCATGTCTCTATTCTCCTTTGGTGTAGAATAGTTCCTCCATGTTTTGTGTTTTTTTTCTTGTGATATTAGTATTTTCAATGAGTTGAACAGCTGCTTTGCAGAGTTTCTCCCTAAATTTAGATTTGTCTGATAATTTTCTCATCAGTAAATTTAGGACAAGCATTTCTGACAGGACTAGTACACGGGTGGGGCTGTTTTTTTTCAGTACCTCATATTAGGTTTTATTTATTTTTTTCAGACGGAGTCTTGCTCTGTCGCCCAGGCTGGAGTGCAATGGTGTGATCTCAGCTCACTGCAACCTCTGCCTCCTGGGTGGGTTCAAGCAATTCTCCTGACTCCCAAGTAGCTGGGACTACAGGTGACACCACCACGCCAGACTAATTTTTGCATTTTTAGTAGAAACGAGATTTCACCATATTGATCAGGCTGGTCTCGAACTCCTGACCTCAGGTGATCCACCCGCCTTGGCCTCCCAAAGTGTTGGGATTACCGGCATGAGCCACCCACGCCCAGCCTCAGTACTTCATGAGGTTTTAGATGTTCATTGCCTGTTGTTGGTTTCCATATAAATATTAGAATTAACTGCAAAGTCATACAAGAAACCTTGCCAAGATTTTGATTGGAATTGATTTCTATCTAGAGATTACTTGCATCTCTTTATTAGACTTATTCCTAGGAGACGGACATGGTGGCCCACACCTGGAATCCCAGCTACTTAGGAGGCTGAGGCAGGATTACTTGAACCCAGGAGGTTAAGGCTGGAGTGAGCTATGATCCATTACTGCATTCCAGCCTTGGTGACAGAGGGAAAAAATAAATAAATAAATAAATATTTAAATCAATTTATTTCTAAGTACCTTATATTTTCTGTGACATATAAATCTTTTGTATTTAAAGGTTTGTTTTGTTTTTATGGTAAATGGTACCTTTGTAAAAATTACACTTTCTAGCTATTTGTGGCTAGAGATTACTTATGATTTATATTATTTCCAGTAGTTCCTTTTTTATAAACTATATTTTATTTATTTATTTATTTATTTATTTTTGAGACGGAGTTTCACTCTGTCGCTCAGGCTGGAGTGCAGTGGCGCGATCTCAGCTCACTGCAAGCTCCGCCTCCCGGGTTCATGCCACTCTCCTGCCTCAGCCTCCCGAGTAGCTGGACTACAGGCGCCCGCCACCACAACTGGCTAATTTTTTTGTATTTTTAGTAGAGACAGGGTTTCACCGTGTTAGCCAGGATGGTCTCGATCTCCTGATCCACCTGCCTCGGCCTCCCAAAGTGCTGGGATTACAGGTGTGAGCCACCGCCCCTGGCCTAAATTTTATTTATATTATTTGAAACTTAAGACAGATAATGACATACAGTGAAAAGTCCTCCTCTAACCCCTAACCCTGGCCATCTGATTCTTTCCATCTGATTCTTTCCAGAGGTAATCAGTGTAACCAGTTTTTTGCATACTCTCCCAGAACTATTTTATATAGATACAAGTAAATCGTGTACTTATATTTTATATATGTTAGCATTAAATAAATGGCAGGCCTAGTAACAGAAATAAAAGTCACATGGAAGGACTATTGTAGGAAGGACAGTTTGGTTTCATAATCAGATGTTTGTAATGATTATAATGTAATAACTTCACAAACACTCAGGAAAAAGCAAATTATTTAATGGAAAATTCCAAAATACATGAGAGCCATTTCCATTCAATATACTTTGTTACAACAATTCCATGTACTTCCAAAATCAGATGCTTTGTAGACTAGCTTGGCAACATGGTGAAGCCCTGTCTCTACAAAAAATCAGCTGGGCATGGTGGCATGTGCCTGTAGTTTCAGCCACCTGGGAGGATGAGGTTGGGGGGTCACCTAAGCCTGAGAAGTCAAGGCTGCAGTGAGCCATGATCGTGCCACTGCACTCCAGCCTGGGCGACAGAGCAAGACCCTGTCTCAAAAAACAAAACCCAGCAAGACCCCAGTCTTTTAACTTGTGAAGCCCCTTTACTCGTCTTTCAGCGCATACAGCACATCATCCTGGCTGACGTTGAGCCGCACCCGAAGGAGCAGATCGTTCCTGCTGGGCTCCACAAGCAGGAGGCGACAGGAGCCCAGGTGAGAACACACGGCCATGGTCTCTGACATGGTGGGGTACGGCAGTCCCTCCATTCTGCACAGTGCCACATGTTGACTATATATCTAGACACAAATAGCAAGGCAAAGGTTAAGAGGAAATACAATCCTGGGGCTTTTTCTGTTCCTTTCTTTCTTCATTTGGGAAAATCAGACACATGGCCCCCAGGATATCAAACACTCCAGAAGGCATCAGTTGGTGCCCCAGTGGTACACAAAATGCAGAGGCAGAATGGAATGCTAGCCTTGGAATCAGAAAACAGCAGGCCCGAATCCTGGTGCTACCATTTACCTAAATATGTAGACCTGGCCAAGTTACTGCACTCTTTTGAGCTTCAATTTTATCTATAAAATACACTGTACATCCCTTGTGAGTTAATGGATATAAAATGACTAGTAACTCTCACTGGTGATACAAATAGTCTTGTCTCCAGGGGCTGAGAGTTTCATAATTGAGACTGTCAAAATTCAAGTCAAATTTTGCTACAAGGCCACTTTCCTTATCAGGTACAGTGAGCAAATGCCAAGGCATGACCCTTGGAAAAGCACAAAGGCCTAGAGAGAAAATTGAATAAAGAAATAAAGGGAGGCAGGAGGATAGCTGGAAACATAGATTCCTACCCTAACGTTCTCTACTGGGTCAGCTAAATCTGGAGCATTTCTGGTCACTTTCCATTCTAAATATCTATGAGTCTATCCCCGTCCCAGCCCCAAGACTGGGAGTTTGTCAGGAACAGGGATGTTAACCAAATCAGCTTGGGGTTCAAGGATTCATCACAGTTAATGGCACACTGCAGATGTTCAGGAAATGTTTACAAACTAAAATGAAAGTCACTCTCTGCAGAAGAGCTATCTCAGACTCTAGGAGGAGAACAGTAATGGGCAAAACATGACGAGTAGCTAAAATTTTAAACAAGAATTTACAACCAACCCAATAAATAAGTAGCTGAAAGGAAAATGTTTTCCTGACTTATTTTAGTTAAATAAAGATGTCTAAAACATACATACACAAACATACACACTCTCAGGTACACACTCATAAACACCTTTAACAATTCATCTTCCAAGGCAGCCAATTACTAGAGTCTTAAGTAAACTAACAAAGCACATGCCCTACTGATCCCTCTCACTTGATCTAATTGAACTATGCCCATGCAGGGATTGGATTGATCTGTGATTTGTTCTCAAATATGGCCTCATTCTGAAAGCCTTGACTCCACTACAACATAAGCTGTAATCAGGGAGTAACTTTGTCTTGTTCCTCATTCTTTGAACAGTGTCTGGCACACAGGCCTTCAATCTAACATGCAGAAACCAGTCGCTAAAGGTCTCTTCTCATGCAGCTCTACAAAATGTCACATTAAAATAGGTGCCGGTCTGGTATTCTTTCACATACTCTAGGTGGCACAAAATAGAGTGTCACACATTCATGGAAATTTCCATGTATTTTAAAAGCGTAAGTCCAAAATCTAGAAGGATTTGAAAAGAGGAGGAGATCACCTGTTGAAACGTGGCTTCCTCCAGTCCTGATCGACGGAACTCTGCGAGGATGGCTCTCAGGAAGCTCTGTTCCAGAACAGAGGAATTTCTTAAAGGAAACGAGGGGATGTGAGTTTTTGTCAGTGGCTGTAACCCCAGCCCAGAGGAAAGCCAAAGAAAACTTTTCTGTGTCTTTAGAAAAGAGAAAACCCGGGAAATAATTTCTCCTATATTATGTGGCAAGGATCTCCCTGACCCCCAAACTCTCAAACTGATACAGAAAATGTCACTGTGGAAGTGAGGAAACATAGCAACTACATCCGGAAATACACTGGTCACTCATAAATACCTGTGCCCTCATTTCATGAGCTGAGCACATCAATCAGTGTGAGAGAAGCAGCTGCTTCCTTTTTTTTTTGTTCCTATCATAGCACTTTTATGCCCTAAACACCTATAATATAGCTCAATAAGTGGCAAATATTCTATTATCCTAGGGTTATATTTCTGTTTCCCTGACTAGATAATGTCCCTATGAAACATAACTGTGTTATTAATAAGTGCAGGTTGAATGAGTAAAAGCTTAGAAAGGGAAACATGTTTCTACAGCCTTCCAGGAAGGCTCAGGAAGTGGAGCATCTTACTTGATGGCCGTGATGTATGATGATGAAAACATCTCATCCACAGCTTCCATTGAGTGGGCTATGGTGACCAGGCCAGGGGAGTCAGGCTTCTGCTGGGAGAACTCACAGATCTCTGTGGCACGCCTGCAGATGTCCAGGCACCGTCGTGCATCTCCAGACAGTGCTGCTACCTACAAGAGGGAATATTTTATTCCTGAGGCCACCTTAGCCCAGAAGAACCAAGAGATTCTTGGTAGTGCTGGCAATGGACATAAGCGTAAAGTTAAGTACTTAGCCCTGGCAGGGAACCTGGAGGAAGAATAGAAATGAATTATTACATTGTGCATGGGACTCTAATCCTCTAGTCCAAACCTCTGTCTTGGTTTTACAGTTAACTCCACAGTGGACAACACAGAAATTCTCAGCTTTACTATTCAGGAAATGAAGTCTAAAATCAGAGACGCTTGGTTCAAGATCACTATTGAAGCATCTGCAAACAGAGTTCTCACTCCTTGCATAGAGACAGACGTGTGCCCCCAGAAGCAGCCAGCCAAAGACAAGAGGGTGAGGTGGAGCCTATCTGGAGATAAAGCCATAGCCAGGCACCCCTTACAGCACGTGGTGAATTTGGGGTCGGCTTGGTCAATGGCTAAGAGGACCAGAATCAAGAATGTAGGAAGGGGCTGGACGCGGTGGCTCACACCTATAATCCCAGAACTTTGGGAGGCCGAGGCAGGCGGATCACCTGAGGTCAGGAGTTTGAGACCAGCCTGGCCAACATGGCGAAACCCCATCTCTACTAAAAACACAAAAATTAGCCAGGGTCTGGGGCGCGGTGGGTCACACCTGTAATCCTAGCACTTTGGGAGGCCCAGGCAGGTGGATCACTTGAGGTCAGAAGTTTAAGACCAGCCTGACCAACATGGTGAAACCCTATCTCTACTAAAAATACAAAAATCAGCCGGGCATGGTGGCACATGCCTGTAATCTCAGCTACTGGGGAGGCTGAGGCAGGAGAGTCACTTGAACCTGGGAGGTGGAGGTTGCAGTGAGCCAAGATCACGCCACTGCACTCCAGTCTAGAGTCCATCTAAAAAAAAAAATCACTTTCCAAGTAACCCAGGACACAAACATGACTATCGGCTTACATTTTTCCCTTCCTCTAATCCCCAGTATTGAACTGGTAAGGGTGTCCTGTAGCCCTTCCTGCTTCGTCAGTTCTCCTCCCCTCCCATTACCACCTGTACAGCCTGGTGAAGAGGCACTTTGTGTGGTGAATAGCAGGGACTCAAGGGCCTCAAGACAAAGTGAAAGGGGAACTCTGGGGGGTAAGGAAACACCTAAACCAGTCTGACCCCAAGGGTATCAGTGACACTTGGCAACCCTATGCATCCCTTCGGGCTGCTGCTGGGACAAGGGAGACACAAGAAGAAGCTAAGGCCCAGCCAACATGGAACCTAACAGGACATCCTGCAGGCACCTGAAACTTGACCTCCACTTCAGCCTCAGTACAGGGTGAGTGAGACCCATCACGCAGAACGGATGGCAGGAAAAACGGCCTACTTGACCTTGGTGCTAGGTGGATGTGGGCACACACAAAAAACTTGGGTTTTATTTATTTATTTATTTTTGAGACAGAGTTTCACTCTTGATGCCCAGGCTGGAGTGCAGTGGTGGGATCTCAGCTTACTGCAACCTCCACCTGTGGGGTTCAAGCGATTCTCCTGCCTCAGCCTCCCGAATAGCTGAGATTAAAGGCATCTGCCACCACACCTGGCTAATTTTTTGTATTTTTAGTAGAGATGGGGTTTCACCCTCCCAAAGTGCTGGGATTACAGGTGTGACCCACTGCGCCCAGCCGACTTTTTGTTGGTTTTTTTGTTTGAGAGAGGGTCTTGCTCTGTCACCCAGGCTGGAGTGCAGTGGCATGATCATGACTCACTGCAGCCTCCACCTCCTCGGCTCAAGCAATCCTCCCACCTCAGCTTCCCAAGTAGCTGGGACTACAGGCACATGCCATCGCATTGGGCTAATTTTTAAATTTTTTGTAGAGACGGGGTTTTAATATGTTGCCCAGGCTGGTCTCAAACTCCTGGGCTCAAGTGATCCTCTCACCTTGGCCTCCCAAAGTGCTGGGATTATAGGCATGAGCCACCCTACCCAGACACTCTCGAGTTTTTACAACCATAAGCCCTTGCTTGGATTTGGAGCCCAAATTTATGTTGTATTTCCTACAATTCTCAAGTGGAGAATTTTATTTTAAAAATGGTAACAGTTGGTAGTGCCCCTAGAAGCAAAAAAAAAAAAAAAAAAAAACAAATTCTAAATGAATTCAACTTCAACCCAGGCCCCAATTAACTCTCAAATAAAGGAGCATGCTGAATTCCATGCATATAGTAAAATAAAATAAAAATCAAGACAAAAAAATAAGAAAACCAAGCCACATATGCATGGGAACCAGCAGAATCAATGGTTATCAGAATCAGACCCCTAAAGACTTCAGGTATCATAACTATAGGATATAGAATATAAAACAGATTCGCTTCGTCATATGTAAAGAAATAGAGAGGGCTTTGAAACTATGGGCAAGAGATTTGAGGAAGAGCAGCATCCAAATTGGATGTCTTCTGAATCTTTGTTAAAAAAACCGGGCTGGGGCGGGGCGCGGTGGCTCACGCCTGTAATCCCAGCACTTTAGGAGGCTGCAGCAGGCAGATCACGAGGTCAGGAGATAGAGACCATCCTGGCTAACATGGTGAAACCCCGTCTCTACTAAAAATACAAAAAATTAGCTGGGCGTGGTGGCACATGCCTGTAGTCCTGCTACTCAGGAGACTGAGGCAGGAGAATTGCTTGAACCCACGAGGCAGAGGTTGCAGTGAGCTGAGATCGTGCCACTGCACTCCAGCCTGGGCAACAGAGTGAGACTCCCTCTCAAAAAAAAAAAACAAACAAAACACCAAAACTCTGGCCAGGTGCAGTGGCTCACACCTGTAATCCTTTAACTTTGGGAGGCCAAGGCAGGCAGATCACTTGAGGTCAGGAGTTCAAGACCAGCCTGGACAACATGGTAAAACTCCGCCTCTACTAAAAATACAAAACTTAGCTGGGCATGGTGGCGGGTGCCTGCCTGTAGTCCCAGCTACTCAGGAGGCTGAGGCAGGAGAATTGCTTGAACCTGGGAGGCGGAGGTTGCAGTGAGCCAAGATTGTGCTGCTGCACTCCAGCCTGGGTCACAGAGCAAGACTGTCTCAAAAAACAATGACAACAACAACCCACCCCAAGACTCTAAAAGGAAGGGAAGCATCAGGAGAAGATTTAAAAATATAATTTTGCAAGTTAGTGCCAGGCGCGGTGGCTCACGCCTGTAATCCCAGCACTTTGGGAGACCAAGGCAAGCAGATCACGAGGTCAGGAGATTGAGACCATCCTGGCTAACACAGTGAAACCCCGTATCTACTGAAAATACAAAAAATTAGCTGGGCATGTTGGCGGGCACCTGTAGTCCCAGCTACTCGGGAGGCTGAGGCAGGAGAATGGCATGAACCCAAGAGGTGGAGGTTGCAGTGAGCCGAGATTGTGCCACTGCACTCCAGCCTGGGCGACAGAGCGAGACTCCGTCTCAAAAAAAAAAATTATAATAATAATAATTCTGCAAGTTAGAAAGACATGGAAGAGTAGCGGTTAGTGTAGTGGACTGGAGAAAGCCAAATCCTAAACCTATATTGAGGAATCCAAGAACAAATCTAAGTTACATTAAAAATCCTCAAAATGCTCAGGAGTTAGTGGTGCTGGAAAGAGGTAAAGGGGGGTTGTTTAGCTAAAGTAGGGTATTTTTTTTTTTTTTTTTTCTGAGACGGAGTCTCGCTCTGTCTCCCAGGCTGGAGTGCAGCGGTGCGATCTCGGCTCACTGCAACCTCAGCCTCCCAGGTTCAAGCGATTCTCCTGCCTCAGCCTCCCTAGTAGCTGGGAATACAGGCTCGTGCCACCACGCCCGGCTAATTTTTTGTATTTTTAGTAGAGACAGGGTTTCACCCTGTTAGCCAGGATGGTCTCGATCTCTTGACCTTGTGATCCACCTGCCTCAGCCTCCCAAAGTGCTGGGATTACAGGCGTGAGCCACCGCACCCAGCCAAAAGTAGAGAATATTTGGTTGTGGTTGAAAGTTAAAAAAAGTTGAGGACGTTAAGAAACTAAAGATGCCTTAGATCAGGAAACAACAAAGTGTGGCTCACCATCTGTTTTTATAAATAAAAGTTTTATTGGCTGTAATCCCAGCACTTTGGGAGGCTGAGGTGGGTGGATCAGGAGGTCAAGAGATTGAGACCAGCCTGGCCAACATGGTTAAACCCTGTCTCTACTAAAAATACAAAAATTAGCTGGGTGTGGTGGTGTGCACCTATAGTCCCAGCTACTTGGGAGGCTGAGGCAGGAGAATGGCTTGAACAAGGGAGGTGGAGGTTGCGGTAAGCCGAAATTGCACCATCGCACTCCAGCCTGGCGACAGAGTGAGACTCCGTCTCAAAACAAAAAACAAAAAAAACAAAGGAAATTTATTCTCAAGCAAAGTTTAGCAAAAAGTCTCTGGTCCTAGGAATGCTAGGCATTATTGTAGAAGAGGTGTCCCTTACCAAAAATAGATGATTACTATATGCATGCCAAACTGGAAGACCTCTTCTGTACCTGACACCAGCCCCTCATTCCCAGAACACTGCCCTCCAGACAGGACAGGGGAAGCATACTGAGAAATCTGACTATTCCCATGGGAAAGGAGGAAAGACAGTGATACTGGCCCACTCAGATCATCCCACAGCAAATCTCATAGTGAATAAGCCCCACTCACATGTTCAGAGCCAGCTGTTTAATCTCCACCCTTACACCTGAGAGGACAACCAAGACAACTGTGGAAAGTCTCTAACGATGCAAGATAGAGACCAAAATCAACTGACAGAAGCATCTTGGAGGAAAACGGGAAAGGACAATTTCAAATAAATAGGATGGCATTGGCCGAGCGCAGTGGCTTGCTCCTGTAATCCCAGCACTTTGGGAGGCCAAGGTGGGTGGATCACCTGAGGTCAGGAGTTCAAGACCAGCCTGGCCAACATGGCAAAACCCCATCTCTACTAAAATACAAAAATTAGCTGGGCATGGTGGCACACGCCTGTAATCCCAGCTACTCAGGAGGCTGAGGCAGGAGAATCTCTTGAACCTAGAAGGCGGAGGTTGCAGTGAGCTGAGATCACGCCACTGCACTCCAGCCTGGGCGACCGAGTGAGATGCTGTTTCAAAAAAAAAAAAAAGGGTGGCATAAAAAAAGGATCATTCAAAGAAAAGAAAAAGCCTCTTAGATAGTCTAGATAGATAGCATAATAGCAAAAGTGAAAAACTCTACCCATAAAATGCCTAGATGATAACTTTGAGGATCTCTCTCCTGGAAAGCAAAGCCTGGAGACAGGCACACAATTGGCTCACCTCTTACCCCAGTCCCTAATACAGTAGCTAGTTCCAAGCAGGAGTCACAGTCATGTGCTGCTGCTACAGCCATTCAGGGTGAAGAGTGTGTCGGCAAGAGGAAACTAGAAATAAGTTTATAATTATTTTACATGCTGAAATACTTGTGGATGTACGGTTTTTCTTTCTTTCTTTCTGCTTGAGGCAGACATTTAACCCACTTTGTTCCTCAGCAGCCGGGGAGACTAGTCTGTGGTGAACTCTCAGGGAGCATTCTCCTATTAGACTTGGAGGAGAGGGGCATCTAATACCTCATATCTAGCCTGGAGAGTGTGCCTTGCTGGGCATGTAATAGACATGATATTGTTATATTTTCACAATGACCCTATGAGGGAAGTGCTCTCATTCTTCTTCAGAGAAGAAAACTGAGGCTCAGGAAATTTTTAAGTAACTTTCCTATAACTTTCTGCATGCCTACTAAGCGTTAAAGCCAGAATTCAAACCAGGTTTGTCTACCTGACTATATTGTCCCTTTCATCATGCAAAACTGCTTGCTCCCTGAATGAATTCATATTAGTTTGCATATAAACCCACAATATTTAGGGCCCTCTAATCATAAAATAACAAGGCTAAGGAATTTCTCATAATCTTGTCTTTTTTGATATTTTTACACGACTTTCTAAATTTCTCTCCAACCTCAGAGCACCAGCATAGGGCCTCATACCCAGCAGGTACTCAGCAAAGATGTGCTGACTGATTTATGGGTGCAGCTGGTGACTTACCTTCCTGGCTACCAGCTGGATGGCATCATCTTCAAAGGCCTTTAGATGCTTGAGCCGGGACCTTAGGATCTGCTGCAGCTGGCTATATGTATAGGGCTGGAAGCACATCCTGGTAAGACCCTGGGGAGCCAAAATGACAGAGGAATAAGTTGGTTGACTGCCCAGTGATTATCCAGGTGGAAAGTCACCCTTGGGCCCCCAAACCCAATTCCCAGGTCCCATATAACAAATTACACATTTCATACCTAGACTACCACTGCCTTTACTGACAATGACCAGTGGTGTCCTGTAGGGCAGTAGTTTTTGAACTATTTTTTCATTTCATTTAAGGACCTTTGATTCTTTTTTTTTCTTTGAGACGGAGTCTTGCTCTGTTGCCCAGGCTACCGTGCAGTGGCATGATCTCGGCTCACTGCAAGCTCCGCCTCCTGGGTTCACGTCATTCTCCTGCCTCAGCCTCCCAAGTAGCTGGGACTACTGGTGCCCACCACCACGCCCAGCTAATTTTTTTGTATTTTTAGTAGGGACAGAGTTTCACCGTGTTAGCCAGGATGGTCTCGATCTCCTGACCTCGGGATCCACCTGCCTCGGCCTCCCAAAGTGCTGGGATTACAGGCGTGAGCAACCACGCCCGGCCTAAACTGGGATTATAGGCATGAGCCACCACGCCCGGCCTAAGGACCTTTGATTCTATCAGAATCATTTGGAAGTAGATAAAAGCTGAGGTGCTTTAATTGAAGTGGGTGAGAGGATCTTCAGATCTATGCTATACATTGTCACTGCACTTGGCTTCACTTACCAGGCTCTTCATGATTTCTCATTGCGCTTCCTGCTGAACTGCAAGGCCTGTGAGGGCAGACATTGCATCTGCCTGGTTTATTGCATTATTCCAAGCACCTAACACTGCCTGGCAGGTTATAAGTGCTAAAACTTTTTTTTTTTTTTTTTTTTTTTTGAGACAGAGTTTCACACTTGTTGCCCAGGCTGGAGTGCAGTGGCGTGATCCTGGCTCACCGCAACCTCCGCCTCCCGGGTTCAAGAGATTCTCCTGCCTCAGCCTCCCGAGTAGCTGGGATTACAGGCATGCGTCACCACACCTGGCTAATTTTTGTCTGTTTAGTAGAGATGGGGTTTCTCCATGTTGGTCAGGCTGGTCTCGAACTCCTGACCTCAGGTGATCCACCTGCCTTGGCCTCCCAAAGTGCTGGGATTACAGGCGTGAGCCACTGTGCCCAGCCTAAAACATTTTTTTTTTAAATAATTAAACCTCCATGGTTTGGTGCAGTTTAAAAGTCCACGAGCAGCAGAACACCAAGATATGATGTTTGCAGAAAATCATGCAATGGTTACATATTCCAACATAGAAACTACAAGCATTGCAGAAATCACATTTCTTAACATCCCAATTTATTTTAGTATTCATTTTTGCAGAACTTTTTTTTTTTTGGGATGGACTCTTGCTTCGTTGCCAGACTGGAGTGCAGTGGCACGATCTCAACTCAATGCAAACTCTGCCTCCGGAGTTCAAGCAATTCTCCTGCCTCAGCTTCCTAAGTAAAAATTAGCCTGGCTAATTTTTGTATTTTTAGTAGAGACGGGGTTTCACTGTGTTGGCCAGGCTGGTCTTGAACTCCTGACCTCAAGTGATCCGCCCGCCTTGGCCTCCCAAAGTGCGGGGTTTACAGGCGTGAGCCACCACACCTGGACCATTTTTGCAGAACTTCTTGGCCAAGCTTACAGATCTGCAAGAACAGCATGGGAACTGCCCTAGAACCTACCAGTCGGCTGGACACCCGGTTCATCATGATTCGCTCTGGCAGGTCCATTGTGTTGGCAATTGCCAGGACCACAAGCCGGGCCTCCTTATGAGTGGGCCAGTCAAAGAGATTGTACATTATGTCTTGTTTGTGAGTCCACAGAAGGTCGAGCTGCCAGGGCAAAGGAGAGAGGTGCAGAGTCAATCACAGAGACTGAGCTGGTGCTTCAAAATGAAGACCTATAACCACTGCTTTAGCTGCATGTTTCCCAAGTCATAGCACCAAAACAATCCATTGACACACGCCTCTCAGCACCAGAAAATGGGCTCATATGAATGGAGAAGGGAGCCAGGACTTTCCTCCCTCCCATCCAGCACTTGCTCCTGAGGTACAGCCCTGTTTCTTCTCCTGTCCGCCCATGGGCACCTCACCTCATCCACAAGCAGGACGGTGGTTTCCTGAGGTGACCCTCGGGTGCAGAATTGCTTTGCCAGCAGTTCTGCCGCATGGTTGGCTGTTGCTTTTTGGCCTGTTAGCTTCTGCATTAGGAGAAACACAGTTGTGAGGAACTGTAAGGGTCTTACTCCCTTGGGCTTAAAGTTAAATCTGCAAATGGAGGGAGGCATTTAACCTGAGGACTTCGGTATCCTATATTCTGCCTCCCAATCTAGTCTTAACCTTTACTTGGAAGGACAAGAGAAGGCACCGAAAGAGAAGATAAAGAAGGTATATGAGTTTGAAATGCAAATGAGTCACAGGCTGGGCCAGAAGCCCCCTTAAAATCACTATTACAGAATTCTATAACTGGATGTTACCTGCTCCAAAATAACAGCCCATGGACAAAGAGCAAGGCTTAACCTCTGGCCTGCCACGGACCCCTTTTCCATGTTGCCACACTGCTACCTGTAAGCTCACAGTTTTCACCATGTGGGTAAGTACTGGCTTCCTGGCTTGTAATCATTATCCAGCTCCTAGACTTTGAAGTCTCTTAGGGTAAGAATTCTGTCTTCCTTGCCCTTGCTACCTCTACAGAAAGGACAATGCCTGGTATATCATGAACATGCAATACACGCAAAATTAAGTAACTCTTTCCTTTTTCATGTGTCACGAAGAAACAGCATTTTCCAAAAAGCCTAAACAGCTCTGCTTACCTGCAAGATTTGCACATAGACTTGGTGGGGCTCCGTCAGCTTCATGCCATTGACCTCAATGTATTGAAAGGGAGGAACATCATTGGCTTGGGCTGCCTGCTGCAGGCAGCGTATCACTTCATGAACAGTGGCAGTCTTCCCTGTCCCAGGGACACCGGAGATGTACATGCACCTAGAGCAAGAGAGGAAAACCCGTGGGGTAGGTCTCAGCCAGCCACTACACGTTATAATCAGTTAGGAGTGTGGGAATGTATACTGAGGGAAGGACCGAGACCCTTGAAATGTGGAGGTGGGGGCAGTAGGGACCATCCTTGGAAGCTGGTCAGAGTAGGACCTGCTTATATAGAATCATTCATTCCACAGTTTGCATAATGCTATATGCAAACTGCCTACTCAATGAAGGCCAGTTTCATTCTTTCTGAAAGGCAAAATTTCTGTTACTATAGGATTACTTTGGCAACAAATGTTTCAGAAGCTTTGGGCTTCAGCAACGATTTGGTCTAGTCTGCTGATACTGGAGAAAGCCTGTATGGCTGAACTGTAACACCCAAGGCATTCCACTAGCAGGGGCCTTATTCCCCAAACTACCCTGCCTGCCTCACATGACTCACCCTCCGGTATGGTCAAGGAGTTTGCTTTCCACAAAATTGTAGATGTCTTGGAATTCCTGTTCCCGACAGGGAAGAGACTCAGGTACAGCAGAAACATGCAGCCTACCATTGGTGGTAAACGGGAGAAAAGGAAGACTTTAGGAACATTCCCCAACCATCTACTCATTAATCAATGGAAAATGATTATGGTTTCTTGTCTATGTTTCTACCTGAAAACTCAATTTCAAATGCTAGAGAATCCCTTCATTCTCAAATCCCTCCATTTGGCCTCATAATCCTTGGCCTCCGTTTCTCCACCCAAATCACATGGGTGGACCTCATCCCACAGGAGATTCAGATTTTGCTTGATTTCTGACAGGATCCAGACTTATATGAAAGTCTCCATATGGTTCTAAAGGGCATCAAAACAAAGAGGCACTGTCCTGACTAATCATCTTCCATCCCTGCGGAAATGATGGCAGTAGACGGGAAGGCCAGTCCTCCCAGGGCCTGTCCACACTGGCTAACCCAGATGCTGCCTGAGAGGTTTCTTTTTTCTAAACATACACTCACTTTACCTAGATAGGTAAAAGTATAGACACACAGTGTATCTACCTTTATTAGGTAGACCAGTGACTGCTAATTTTATGTGAATGAAAGCAGAGGCCCCATGGTTCCTGCCTCTCTGAAGGGGAATCAACAGCAGCAGTACCTCAGTCGGGCTTCCTCCAGCACACTGGCTGGCTCCTGGGCAGCCAGGCTTCGACTACGGATCTGAGGAGCGGCACAACGTGGCGTTCTAGGCTTGAGCTGTATTGAAAACAAAGAACATATTTCACAAGGAAAAAGCAAAACACCATCCAGGACACACCAGCAAATGTGATTTGTGCTGATCTGATAAAAGGAAGAGAGGTGGTGAATTCCTCTTAGTTCCTTCCTGGATAAAGGACCATGACTCTCCCTCTCTCACCTCACATTGCATAAACTTTGTTCATCGTCCAAATATGGTTTCTTTTTTCTAATGTATGTATAGTATCAGGATTTATAACAATATCAGTCTGAGGAAAGAATTAAGTTTGGATGAAATACTATTTAAAAGTAAAATATTATCTTGAAAGACAAGAAATGTTTAAGACACCCTAACTACTCTGCCCAAATACAGAAGAGAAGAGGAGGCATAAACTAGGTTTGATTCATTAGATCTTTCCCTGGGCTTATTTGAAGATATGGCCAAGCATCAGCCCAGGACTTCCATGGCCCACGGTGCGGGACCTGGAGAAACCTTGGCAGATTTTTCCACTCCAAACCCCCAGGTCACCGCTTAGTGTAGTCTAACAGCCCTCTATCTTCTTCCTTGCTCATGGCTTGCTAGAACAAGCCTGCTGCTGCTTCCCTCATCTTCATGGCGTTTCTACAAAGCATTCCCTTCTATGGGGCATTTCACTCCACCCACCCTCTGTTTTCAGCCTGGCTAGAGAGAGAACAATCTCTCCATTTCCTCCCGAGGCAGAAAGCACTTAAACTGTTTAAAAGGCTTTACAGGCTGGTGCGGTGACTCACGCCTGTAATCCCAAAACTTAGAAAGGCCAAGAAGGGAGGACTGCTTAAACTCAGGAGTTTGAGGACAGCCTGGGCAACACAGAGGTGAAAGCCCCCTCTAAATTAGCTAGGCATGATGGCACACTCCTGTAGTCCCAGCTACTTGGGAGGCTGAGGTGGAAGGATCGCTTGAGCCCAGGAGGTTGAGGCTACAGTGAGTTGAGATTGCACCACTGCACTCCAGCCTGGGCAAGAGACAGAGCAAGAGCGTGTCTCAAAAAAAAACAAAAAGGCCTTACATTTATTAATTTTGGAGAAAACAGAAAAGTGTTGACAAGGCCTTGCTGAGAAGGTATCAAGAAACCTGATGGGCTTCTGCCCTTTTTTATTATGCTGAAGGTACCCTACACCCTATATCCCTACTTTTGGGTGGGGGCCAGGAGACACAATCAAACCAGAGGCCTGTTAGGAACCAGGACACAGCAGGAGGTGAGTGGTGGGTGGGGTGAGCATTACCACCTGAGCTCTGCCTTCTGCTAGAGGAGCAGAGGCATTAGATTCTCATAGGAGTGCAAATCCTATTGCGAACTGTGTGTGCAAGGGATCTAGGTTGCACACTCCTTATGAGAATCCAATGCCTGGTGATCTAGGGTAGAACAATTTCATCCTGAAACCATCCCCCCAGCCCCTGCCATCCGTAGAAAGTTTGTCTTCCACGAAGGGGGTCCCTGGTGCCAAAGGGGCTGGGGACTACTGATCTACTGGATTCCTTTCCCTAGAGACTTTTCTTTTTTCTTGAGATAGAGTCTCACTCTGTCGCCCAGGCTAGAGTGCTATGGTGCGATCTCAGCTCACTGAAACCTCTGCCTCGCAGGTTCAAGTGATTCTCCCGCCTCAGCCTCCAGAGTAGCTGGGATTACAGGCACCTGCCACCATGCCTGGCTAATTTTTGTATTTTAAGCAGAGACAGGGTTTCACCATTGTTGGCCAGGCTGGTCTTGAATTCCTGACCTCAAGTGATCCACCCACCTCGGCCTCCAAAGTGCTGGGATTACACGCATGAGCCACCATGCCCAGCCGAGATTTTTCTTTGATTTCAACCCAAGCCAAATCACATCTTCATACGGAAAAATGGACATCAGCTTTAGAAAGTCTTCTAATTAAGATTTCTCAACTGTGTTCCAAAGAATAAGATGCTCTGTCAATTTAACTTTAATTCAAACATTTCTCAAGCACATTCGAACATGAGAAGATCCTGATCTGAATACCTTTTCAGTGTTCTGCTAAAGTTCCACAGGAAGCAGAAAAGATGTTCATTGATCTCCTCCTTCCATCTTGCTGTGACATGATTTGTTACCAATATGTAAGTAGCACTCCCGGTTTCTCAGGTGTATCAAGTGGGACAACAAAACTAACACCACAGCTCGGTGGCCGTACATGCGATACCCACTCTGCCAGTGCTCCGTGGGAAATGCAAAGAGGAGTGGGTCTTGTACTTACTTCCCTCAGGAAGTTCAGCTCTTGGCCATCTGATTCTGTACCGTAAAAGGGACTTACCTCAAAAATCACTCTCTACTAGATTCATTTTCAGTCCTAGTGTTCACTTAGGTCCCCTTCTCCATGAATATTCCACAAAGAATAGCATTGAATATAACAGATCTGTCCTCAGATTCCAGCTGTTACTAATCTGTGACTTCAGCATTTGTAACTTTTAAACTAAGAGAGGGATGCTTCAATGGGAAGTAAACCTAGAAGAACCTTACACTCTTCTTTGGCACCTTCGTGAGGGTATGTAAGGATGACTTCAAGGAAGATCGCAGGTTCCTGGACACAGTTCTGGGTGCTCTCCTTGGAAGGGGCGGTGTGGAAGCCTCTTCTTCGTCACTGCTAGAGTCTGAAATCTCTGCTGCTGGCAGAATCTCTTTCTCTTCTTGGTCACTTTTACTATTACCTAGAAACCTGAATGGTAGGGACATATTTTTTGATACTCAGTGTTCAAGTCTAAATAAGAAGAACTCTATAACATTAGTGTGGATTACAAGTATTGCAGGGTCCCTCCTGTGACCAGGTGACATGGGTGCTTGCTACCGAGACACTCTGTTAGGAGCATTATTTATATTATCTCATTAAACCCCTCAACAACTTTATGACATGTATATTATTATATTTTGTAGATGAGGAATTTCAGGCTTAGAAAGGTAATTTTGCCTTCCCAAGGTTACACAGATGGTAAATGACAAAGCCCAGGTTCAAATCCAGATCTGTCAGAATCCAAGTTCATGCTCTTAGGCACCCCATCCCACCAACAGTCTTGCTGGACATGATGATTAGGGATGGGAGTCACCTAAGCCCAGGAAGTATTTCTTGCCCCTTCAGACTAAGACAATTATTTGAAACTTAACATAATTCCAGACATGCTAGGTAAAAGGTCAATTTCAATGGATTGGCAAATAAACAGTATAAGAGGCATTAGGAGATAAGATTATAGATATCAGAGATGGCAGCAATGTTTCTCTGCCTGCCAAGGAGTAGTCTTACCGAAGCTGCTGCCTAATCCGATTCATAGTCAAGACAGAACTCTTTCTGCGGATACGATGGGGAGTAGAGGTCGCTTCATTCTGGGCTTTTGCTTCTTTTGCATCCCTGCAAGAAACCACAGCGAGGTCACGGGAAGCAGTTTTGGATACCAGAGTGTACAAAAGGCACTAGAAGATAGTCAAGTGGCCTGATTGGCTCCCAGTCTTTTTATATATACTTTGAAAAGAGTAAAACTTTCTTTCTGCTAAAAAGTTGGCAAAAAATTATAACTAAAAAGTTATAATTGAAGCTTGACTCAAACCCAGAGTTCAAAGTCTGCCTTAACCTTATTTAAATTAGACTCACCAACTCCCCAACTAGAGACCAAAATATGCTACTCCCAGGGAGAGGTGCTTGTCCTTTTTTGTTTCTGATGCATGCATGAATTTATTATCCACACAGGCTCAAGGTTAGCAGAAATGCAGCTATATATTCAATATAAAGCATTTACTGAGCAACCTATTATGGAACAGGTGCTGAAGTTTCTAGGTAGCAAATACTACAAATTGTAACTTCTGGCTTGTTGCATTTTTATTTGTACAGCAAAGTTTGTTCTAAATGTCTTATCTTTTTGTACAGTTTGTATTTGAGAATAGTCTCCAGTTAAAAAATGAGTCCTAGCCAGAGCAATCAGAAAAGAGAAAGAAATAAAGGGCATCCGAATTAAAAAAGAGCATGTCAAACTGTTAATGTGCACCAATGATATGATCATATACCTAGAAAACCCTGAAGACTCATCCAAAAAGGTCCTAGATCTGATACATTGCTGATAGAAATCACAGATGACACAAACAAATGGAAACACATCCCATGCTCATGGATGGGTAGAATCAATATTGTGTAAATGACCACAATGCAAAAGCAATCTACAGATTCAACATATTCAGTGCAATTCCCATCAAAATACTATCATCATTCTTCACAGAACTAGAAAAAACAATACTAAAATTCATATGGACCAAAAAAGAAAGCCCGCATAGACAAAGCAATACTAAGCAAAAAGAAAAATCTGGAGGCATCACATTACCTGACTTCAAACTATAACTTCAAGGATATAGTTACCAAAACAGCATAGTACTGGTATAAAAATAGGCACGTAGACCAATGGAACAGAACGGAGAACCCAGAAATAAAGCCAAATACTTATAGCCGACTGATGTTCGACAAAGCAAACAAAAACATAAAGTGGGAAAAGGACACCCTGTTCAACAAATAGTGCTGGAATAATTGGCAAGCCACATGTAGAAGAATGAAACTGGGGCCGGCCATGGTGGCTCACGCCTGTAATCCCAGCACTTTGGGAGGCCGACGTGGGTGGACCACCTAAGGTCTGGAGTTTGAGATCAGCCTGGCCAACATGGTGAAACCCTGTCTCTACTAAAAATACAAAAATGGGAAGCCGAGGTGGGTGGATCACCTGAGGTCAGGAGTTTGAGATCAGCCTGGCCAACACAGTGAAACCCTGTCTCTACTAAAAATACAAAAAATTAGCTGGGTATGGTGGCAGGTGCCTGTAATCTCAGCTACTCGGGAGGCTGAGGCAGGAGAATCGCTTGAACCCGGGAGGCGGAGGTTGCAGTAATCCGAGATCGTGCCATTGCACTCCAGCCTGGACAACAACAGCAAAACTCTGTCTCCAAAAAAAGAAAAAAAAAAAAAAAAAGAAGAAGAAAGAAACTGGATCCTCATCTCTCATCTTATACAAAAATCAACTCAAGATGGATCAGAGACTTAAATCTAAAACCTGAAACCATAAAAAATCTAGAAGATAACGGGCAGGCGCAGTGGCTCACGCCTGTAATCCCAGTACTTTGGGAGGCTGAGGCAGGTGGATCACAAGGTCAGGAGTTCGAGACCAGCCTGGCCAATATGGTGAAACCCCGTCTCTACTAAAAATACAAAAATTAGCCAGGTGTAGTGGCTCGCGCTGGTAGTCCCAGCTACTCAGGAGGCTGAGGCAGAAGAATTGCTTGAACCCGGGAGGCAGAGGTTGCAGTGAGCTGAGATCATGCCACTGCACTCCAGCCTGGGCGTCAGACAGAGTGAGACTCCATCTCAAAAAAAAAAAAAAAAAAATCTAGATGATAACATTGGAAAAAGTCTTCTAGACATTGTTAGGCAAAGAATTCATGACTTAGAACCCCAAAAGCAAATGCAACAAAAACAACAATAAATAAATGGGACCTAATGATACTAAAAAGCTTCTGCACAGCAAAAGAAATAATCAGCAGACAACCCACAGAGTGGGAGAAAATATTTGCAAACTATGCATCCAACAGAGGACTAATACCCAGAATCTACAAGGAACTCAAACAAATCAGCAAGAAAAAAACAAATAATCCCATCAAAAAGTGGGCAAAGAGCTGGGTGCGGTGGCTCACGCCTATAATCCCAGCACTCTGGGAGGCTGAGATGGGTGGATCACTTGAGATCAGGAGTTCGAGACTAGCCTAGCCAACATGGTGAAATCCCACCTCTACTAAAATACAAAAATTAGTCGGGCGTGGTGGTGAGTGCCTATAGTCCCAGCTACTCAGGAGGTTGAGGCAGGAGAATTGCTTGAACCCAGGAGGCAAAGGTTGTAGTGAGCCAAGATCGCACCACTGCACTCTAGCCTGGGCAACAGAGCAAGACTCCCGCTCAAAAAAAAAAACAAAAGGTAAAAAAAAAAAGTAGGCAAAGGACATGAATAGACAATTCACAAAAGAAGATACAGAAACAGCCAGCAAACATATGAAAAAATATTCAACAGCACTAATTATCAGGGAAATGCAAATTAAAACCACAATGAAATACCACCTTATTCCTGTTAGAATGGCCATAATTTAAAAAATCAAAAAATAATAGATGTTGGTGTGGATGTGGTGAAAAGGGAACACTTCTTTTTTTTTTTTGAGATGGAGTCTCGCTGTCGCCCAGGCTGGAGTGCAGTGGCGCGACCTCCGCTCACTGCAAACTCCGCCTCCCAGGTTCACAGCATTCTCCTGCCTCAGCCTCCCAAGTAGCTGGGACCACAGGCGCCCACCACCAAGCCCGGCTAATTTTTTATGTTTTAGTAGAGATAGGGTTTCACTGTGTTAGCCAGGATGGTCTTGATCTCCTGACCTTGTGATCCGCCCGCCTCGGCCTCCCAAAGTGCTAGGATTACAGGAGTGAGCCACCGCGCCCAGCCAGAAAAGGGAACACTTCTACACTGCTGGTGGGAATGTAAACTTGTACAACCACTATAGAAAACAGTGTGGAGACTCCTTAAATAACTAAAAGTAGATCCACCATTTGATTCAGCAATCCCACTCCTGGGTATCTACCCAAAGGAAAAGAAGTCATTATATTAAAAAAAAGACACATGCACACGCATGTTTATAGCAGTACAATTTGCAATTGCAAAAATATGGAACCAGCCTAAATACCCATCAACCAATGAGTGGATAAAGAAAATGTGGTACATATTTACCATGGAATACTACTCAGCCATAAAACAATGAAATAATGGCACTTCCAGCAACTTGGATGGAGATGAGACCATTATTCTAAGTGAAGTGACTTGGAAATGGAAAACCAAATATCATATGTTCTCACTTATAAGTGGGAGCTAAGCTATGAGGATGCAAAGGCATAAGAATGATATAAGGGACTTTGGGGACTCGGGGAAGGGTGGAAGGTGGGTGAGGGATAAAAGACTACATATAGGGTACAATGTACACTGGTCAGGTGACAGGTGCACCAAAACCTCAGAAATCACCACTTAAGAACTTACCCATGTAACCGAAGACCACCTGTTCCCCAAAAACTATTGAAATAAAATGAAACAACAACAACAATGAAAAACTGCTTTAAAAAATGACTGTTAAAGTGTGGCAAAAAGCCACAGGAACTAATGAAATCCCAAACTGGATAGCAATGCAGGTTTGGGAAGTTATCTTCTATAGCAATGATCCCCAAATAACAGCTCGGTATACTGGAACCATCTGAAGAGCATTTCCAAATACAGATTCCTAGGGCCAGTGCTTGGAGTCTGACTCACTAGGTGTGGGAAGAGGCCTAGAAATCTGTATTTTAAGAAAGCTCCCCAATACTTCTGTGACATAGGTTTTTCAACTACTGTTCTAACTTTTTTGACTATGACTCACATACTTCACGTGATGTGAAGGATTTCAATTTGCTCTGTGGGTAATGTCCCTGGTCACCTCTTTTTGATGTTTTCTGGTTTCAGAATCACGGATGGCACCACTGAAGATCTCTGTCCCCCACTGATAGGGGTAAGTGTTCTCTCCTCTCTAATGTCTATGGTTTTCGAAGCTGCAATTCGGGTTCTCAGGATTATGCGATGTTCAGGTGAAGCCTTCTTGTCATCCTCAGTATAAGAGAGTCCAGTCTCTCTGGTTTTCTCTGGGGCTTTCAGAGCTGGAGACAAGGTTTGAAGTTTATCAGGCTGAGATCTCTTAGAAGGTGAGGTGATCTCCGAGAAGGCCACTTTCCGTTTTATTCTTCCTGGAGAATCCAAGGAGGCACATGAAGTCTGCTGGGACATCTGAGGGTTACCTAAGTCTAAGAGAAATCATCACAATGTGTAAATTTTTTACCTAACAATATACAAACCCACAATCTCATCACAGCCAAATTCAGCCACTGAGTTATATGTAAAACAGGAATTATCTATATTTTTAATCATTCCAGGCTTGCTTTCTCCAGCCCAGGTAGCTCTAATAATTTTTCATCTCTCACCTAAATTTTAGGAGTGATTTTCCTAGTTAGAACCATAAGTCAACTTTTAAGTCAGCTTTTGCAGATAAATGGAGTGTTTTCTCATCTCTAACAGGTTTCCCTGAAATAACCTATCAGAACAGTGGGTCTCAATCAGGGGTGACATCGCATGCCTTCAACCCTAACTCAATGACATTTGAAGAGATTTATACTAGAGATGCTATCAAGTAACAATGAGGCCAAGATTTTTCTTAACCCAGATTATATCTGCCAATAGAGAGAAGTGGGGTTCCTGGGGACAATCCACTGGTTCTGTGAATACACAAAACTGTCTGGAATTGCTCCCTCATCACGAGGACCACAGCACCAAGGACCCCAGCTGCTCATTTGCAGATACCAACTGAGCAGTTAAAAAGGCAGGCGTGTGCCAGGGGCTGAGGTTAAACAAAAGCTGAATGAGGCTCAATCCTGGTTCCAACACAAAAAACACTCTAGTCTAACAGATGATACACATGACTGCCTATTATATTACATAAAGTGAAATAAGTGTCCAGAAGCACCTGAGTGCTCATAAAGATGGCTTTTGAGACATACCTTGAAAGAAAGGTAAAATTTCAACAGAGTTGAAAGAGGAAGAAGAGGGGACATATGAGGACCTAAAGAAAAAAAAAAGAAAAACTCCCTTGTTTCTTTCTTTCTTTTTTTCTGAGACAGAGTCTTGCTCTGTTGCTCAGACTGGAGTGCAATAGCGTGATCTCAGCTCACTGCCACCTGTGCCTCCCAGGTTCAAGAGATTCTCCTGCCTCAGCCTCCCGAGTAGCTGGGATTACAGGTATGTGCTGCCACACCTGGCTAATTTTTTGCATTTTTAGTAGAGACGGGGTTTCACCATGTTGACCAGGTTGGTCTCAAATGCCTGACCTCAGTTGATCCACCCGCCTCGGCCTCCAAAAGTGTTGGGACTACAGGTGTGAGCCACCATGCCCAGTCAGCCCCTTAATTTCTGAAGGTGATATTACAGATTAGTTAATATTTGTGCTGCATTTTCTAAATGTTTTATACATTTATATTCAGCTCCTAAAACACATACTGTACTATAGAGCTATCAAGAATACAAGTAACTTATACTTGAAGTTGACACCTACACAAAAAATTCAAAAAAGGATGAATGACTACAACAAGATGAGGATGAGCTCTCAGAAAGGCTGTGGGGTGAGTTTCAGATACATTGTAAGGGGAAAAAGCAAGTTGGAAAAGAATATATCCAGTATACTACCCTTTTGGTAAGAAAACGAAAAATAAAAATATATGTGTGTCTGCATATAGGTATACATATATGTATATGTATCTGCTGATTTTTCCAAAACGAAACATAGGAAAGATAAACCAGAAAGGGAAACAATTAATTAACATATAGAAGGTGGAGTAAGCAGGGTTGGAGGACAAGGAAAGGAGTAGTGCTTTTCTGGGTACATTTAAGTAGTTTTGACTCGAATTATATTAATGTTTCACATATTTAAAAAATTAAATAAAAAAAGGGAGAAGTCCTAAAATTAAACACAAACTTTGATAGTTGGGCATGGTGGCTCATGCCTGTAATCCCAGCACTTTGGGAGGCCAAGGCGGGTGGATCACTTGAGCCCAGGACTTTGAGACCAGCCTGGGCAACATGGCAAGACCCTCTTGCTACAAAAAATTAAAATAAAATTAGCCAGGCATAGTGGTACACACTTGTAGTCCCAGCTACTTGGGAGACTGAGGAAGGAGGATCATTTGAGCCCAAGAGGTCAAGCCTACAATAAGTCGTGATTGTGCCATTGCATTCCAACCTGGGTGACACAGCAAGACTCTGTCTCAAAAAACAAAAACAAAAAAACCCAGAAAATGGAGCCAAGTGCAGTGATGTACCCTTGTAGTCCCAGCTACTGGGGAGGCTGAGGCAGAAGGATTGCTTGAGCATGATCACTTGAGTTCCAGGCTATAGTGCACTGTGATCACTAACTCAATACTTTCCCATAAATTATCATTTTTATCACATAACCCTTTAGCCCCAGTATTGCCCACGGTGATCCATTCCACAACTTACTGCCAAGCTCCAGCCTCTTTCTGGCTCTTGGGGTAAGAGGATGGGTAGGAGTTTGGCGAGATTTGGAGGCGGAGTGCCTTGATTCAATCCTTTTGGCCACATGTTCTGCTGGGGTCCAAGAAGGGCTCTCTGCACTCTTACTCTTGGCTCTCACGGGTTTCTGGCACTTGGCTGCACTCTCTTGTGGTTTATTCAACTCCGCAAATAGTTCTGAGGAAAGTGGCCTGAATTTCTTCTCATTCCAGGATAGTTTCACAAAGAGTGTCTTCTCATTTTTCAGATTCGTCGGTACCACATCCTTTGGGGCTAAAGGTATCACCTGAATTTAGGAAGTATAGATAAGTAGGAAGAGATGAGCCCCAAGAGAGCCAAGGAGTATTCCATCAGAGCTACAATTAAAAACATTGAAGTCCACATCTGTACCTAAAATGTTACCTTTCCAATCTAAAGACGCATAGACATGGCATAGCATATTGCTAGAAAAACACATAATAATGAATATTTACTGAGTATTTACTCATTTTATCATTAATCACTTTAAAGACATCAGTGAAATAAATTATTCCTTTCATTTCATTTTAAAAATGTTTATTGTTCATCTCTCAATTCCTATTATTATCACCCTAGTTCAAATATGCATCCTCTCACTCCTGGGTTATTTTCACAGATTCCTCCTAGCTGATATTCTTATACCCTACCATTGCTTTCTTTTCCAGTCCATTCTGTTCGCCTATGCCAAGTTTCCCCACAAACTTATCTAAACATGCTCGCCTGCTCAACAGCCAATAATGGCTCCCACTGTAGCAAGACCAAATTACTTAAACTAATTTTTCAATGCCTTCTAAGATCTGGCCTCATTTTACCTACAGAGTGCGCAATACTCCTTGAAGAGGTCTTGTCACAGTCCTGCTATTCCCACCACTGTGCTCCTGCCCAGATGCTCCAAGCCCTGTGCCTCTCCGCGTATACTCATCCTGCTGCCTCAACTTTTGCATCTGCCTCACACTCCTTTAGCTTTCTCTCCTTCACTCATTTAACTCAAAGATAAATTAAGATAATCATGCCAGACGAGAGTCTCTACCCTAACGCTCAATGAACCACATAATCAGCATACAACCACACCTCACATCACAACCTAATCCCATGCTGGGGAGCCTGAAGTCACTTCAGGAAAAACTCATAACCAGTGACTTACTTCAGCCTGCAAACCAGCCGCTCATTAGCACCTGATTTATTAAGAAATCCTGTCATACAAATTTGTCTGTAGCAACTAGCACTCTTTGTACTGATTTACTCAAGGTGCAGTCCTCGTTTAAGCCAGCATATTCAGCCTCACAATGCTTTATGCATGCCACAGTCATAGCTAAATATAACATCCCCCTGAGATACATCTGCTAATTCCTGCTCATCCCTCAGGTCACAACCCAAATGTCACCTCTTGTAGGAGGCTCCTAACACATGATACGTGCTCTCAATAAATATCTGTTGAGATGAAACAGACAGGCAAGCACAGAAGATGACAGGAAATAATGCATTCCCTATGGGGTATTAGAGCCGGTAATATTTCTGGGGTCATGAAGTTCAGGAGGCAGACAGAAATAAGCTTCAAGGTAGAACCAAGGATGGTGGCATCACCTACCCGAACAAGGCCAATGATGGTCTCCGCATTAATGTTGCTGTCACAGGCCGGGTAATCATACCAGAATATTTCCTGTGCACCAGGCTTCCGGCCCAACAAATGCCGTTTACAGGCAGGGACTTCACAGAATCGGACAAACCACTGTACTCGAGCACGTTTCTTAGGAGGAGGATCAGAGTCTAGAAAGAATTTGGTGGAAAGGGAAAGGTTAAGACAACTCAAGGACACTTTACTGAGCAATTCCTATGTGCCAGACACTGTGCTTAACCCTTGACATGTGTGGTTTTGTTTTTTGTTTTTTGAGACAGAGTCTCTGTCACCCAGGCTGGAGTGCAGTGGCCCCATCTTGGCTCACTGCAACCTCTGCCTCCTGGGTTAAAGTGATTCTGCTGCCTCAGCCTCCTGAGTAGCTGAGATTACAGGCACCTGCCATCCTACCTGGCTAATTTTTGTATTTTCAGTAGAAACGAGGTCTCACCACGTTGGCCAGGCTGGTCTCAAACTCGTGACCTCACGTGATCTGCCTACCTTGGCCTCCCAAAGTGCTGGAATTACAGGCATGAGCCACCACCTCCCGCCAAAATTTTTTTTTTTTTTGTGACGGAGTCTTGCTCTGTCCCCCAGGCTGGAGTGCAGTGGCGTGATCTCGGCTCACTGCAACCTCTGCCTCCCTGGTTCAGGAGATTCTCCTGGCTCAACCTCCCGAGTAGCTGGGACCACAGGCCTGTGCCACCACGCCTGGCTAATTTTTATATTTTTAGTAGAGATAGGGTTTCACCATGTT
Source organism: Homo sapiens (assembly GCF_000001405.40). Classification (NCBI taxonomy): domain Eukaryota; kingdom Metazoa; phylum Chordata; class Mammalia; order Primates; family Hominidae; genus Homo; species Homo sapiens. The sequence continues at coordinate 52,398,469 of NC_000001.11, forward strand.
GGCCAGGCTGGTCTCAAACTCTTGACCTCAAGTGATCCGCCCGCCTTGGCCTCTCAAAGTGCTGGGATTACAGGCATGAGCCACCATGCCTGGCCCAACATGTGTTATCTTTTATTTTATTTTATTTTTTTGAGACGGAGTCTCACTCTGTCACCTGGACTGGAGTGCAGTGGTTTGATCTTGGCTCACTGCAAGCTCCGCCTCCCAGGTTCACACCATTCTCCTGCCTCAGCCTCCCAATTAGCTGGGATTACAGGCGCCCGCCATCACGCCCAGCTAATTATTTTTTTGTATTTTTAGTAGAGACGGGGTTTCACCGTGTTAGCCAGGACGGTCTCAATCTCCTGACCTCGTGATCCGCCTGCCTCGGCCTACCAAAGTGCTGGGATTACAGGCATGAGCCACCACACCTGGCCGATCCTTAATCCTTCTAATAACCCTACAAGGTAGGTACTACAGCTATCCCCCTTTTCAGGCAAAGAAATCAAGTGACGGGGGACCTTAAAGAGTTTGTCAAAGGTCACATGACCAACTGCAGCAATCTAATTCCAGCCCACACACCCGCTCTTCTGGGATTGCTCCATTTCCTAATGGTGCTATCAGCCGGCAAAGGAATGACAAAAAGGCCTCTGAGAGGAGCTACTCTAAACACAGGCAACGAACAAATAAAAATCAGTGACTATAAAGACAGCATCAAACAGCAGCAAAACAAAAATCCTAGCAAGAATTATAGCATCAGGCTGGGTGCAGTGGCTCACGTCTGTAATCACAGTACTCTGGGAGGCCAAGGCAGGCGGATCACTTGAGGTCAGGAGTTGGAGACCAGCCTGCCCAACATGGTGAGACCTCATCTCTGCTAAAAATACAAAAAATTGTCCAGGTGCGGCGGCTCACGCCTGTAATCCCAGCACTTTGGGAGGCTGAGGCGGGCGGATCATGAGGTCAGGAGCTCAAGACCATCCTGGCTAACACGGTGAAACCCCGTCTCTACTAAAAATACAAAAAATTAGCTGGGCATGGTGGCGGGTGCCTGTAGTCTCAGCTACTCGGGAGGCTGAGGCAAGAGAATGGCTTGAACCCGGGAGGCAGAGCTTGCAGTGAGCCGAGATGGCGCCACTGCACTCCAGACTGGGCGACACAGCGAGACTCTGTCTCAAAAAAAAAAAAAAAAAAAAGAAAGAAAAAGAAAATTAGCTGGGCATGGTGGCAGGTGCCTGTCATCCCAGCTACTTGGGAGGCTGAGGCAGGAGAACTGCTTGAACCCAGGAGGTTGAGGCTGCATGAGCTGAGATTGTGCCACTGCACTCCAGTCTGGGTGACACAGCAAGATTCTGTCACTGTCACACACACACACACACACACACACACACAAGAATTACAGCATCAACCACTGAGATGACTTCTGGCAAATGCTTGCAATCTTCAGCTTTATTATTACAGCATACGATTAGTATCACTCCGTACCAGCAATAGCTCCAACCGAAAGAACACTCATTAGTGCCTCATCATCATCCTCTCTTCCCTGCTTAGCTTTCTTCAGAGAAAGACTAAAGTCATCCAATGGAGCACCAAGAGAGGATTCTAGAATCTATACACCGAAGCCCATGATTCTGATGTGCTGCCTCTACTGGACATTAGTTTGATGAGGTTTTTCTCCATACTTCTAAGTATGTCAAAGAGAAAGTATGTCCAAAATCCTCCTTATCTATGTGCAGTACTCTCCCCTTATCTGCTGAGGGTACGCGCCAAGACCAGTAGATGCTTGAACCTGCAGATGCTGCCACTAACCCTGTATATGCTATGATTTTTCCTACACACACATACTGTACAGCACGGATACACTGGACAAAGGGATGACTCACATTTCAGGTGGGACAGCGTGAGATTTCACCACATTACTCACAATGGCACACAATTTAAAGCTTATGACTTGTTTTTTTCTGTAATTTTCCATTTAATATTTTTGGACTATGGTTGTTGTCAGGTAACTGAAATCGCAGAAGGTGAAACCACGGATAAGGGGGACTATAGTAATATAAAACATCTTTATCCACTCAGTCTATCAGTTCCTTCTCTTGGGCATACAGACTACCACAGGATTACCTAATGACCATGCCCTTCTTCTGTCTCTTGAACGAGGCAGTTTTAGATAGTTTCAAATTGCTATCTTCCTAATCCTCCTTGTGGAGCTGTGCCCCACTCCCACATTTCTGTGCTCTCCTCTTGTTTTGCAGAGGGTTAGAAGGTCAGCAAATCAGCTAAGGCTTTCGATGTGGGCTTGTAGGCTCTGGTTGATGCCACCTTCCCTTTTGTTCCTCCAGCCTAGGGGCAGCCGTGGCTTCCTGCACTTACTCATCTCTGGTAAATGTCACCTTTTCTTCTAGCCTTTCCAACATTAACACACAAGTTCCTCTGGGTAAAATATCTTAAGTGTTTTTGTTTTCCCTGACTGAAACCCCAATTGCTACACCTTCCAAATCCAACTTACCTCTTCACTTGTAACGAAGTAGCACTTGCAAAATATATTACTAACCTTCATGCCAAAACTAAAGGACACATCTCTATGATAGTACAAATTACCTGTTTTTTCCTTCTCCCTTTCCCCCAAATTCATCCATTCTCTCCATCCCCCCCAATTCTGCCTTAATAGCCTTGCTTACTCCCCAAAATAATGAAAAAGTTAAATTATTGAGCCTTCCAGTTCCGTTTTACTCAATACTGCTTTGGTGAGTAAAGAAATTTTTTAGATGGAAGAAGACGCAGCTAGTTCTTACGTGATCCCACCTCAGTCTAATGTGCCCTGCACACTGCTGTGAACAAAAGAATCCACAATCTCCCCACCTCCCAATCATTCATGACAAGGAATGGTTTATTATTCCAGTCCCAAACTCACCATCTTCGAACAACTCAAGCAATTTAGCAACATACGGGTTTTCATCATCATCCCCTTCAATCAACACAAACTGTCCAATCTGGATGTGAATCTCGGTGGAACAACCTTCTGTTTTCACACACATTTCTCTAGGAAGTAACAGAGAAGCACATTAGGAAATAACTTAAAGTGGGTCAAGCTCTTCAGATCCCCTGGGCACAAAGGAGAGGGCTCTCCAATCCTGATTTCTTTCTGCTGACCAACTCTCCTACTGGGAAACCAATTCGCCCAGTTATATTTAAGAATAGGCAAAATGGGTTGAATGAATTGTTTTAGCTGAGTAATGAATCCAAAGGTCTTATTAGGAACCCTAATTCCTCTCAGTTATTGACAAAGAACAACAAATGCTTCCCACAACAAATGTTTCCCAAGGCTGTCAAGCTGCCCAGTAACAATGTCAAATTGTCAGAGATCTCCAGGGCTGGGAAAGACATAGTAAAAACATCTATCATCTCGTTTTCATCAAAAGTTATATAGAACTCACCTTAAATAGACATGACATTATCCTACATACAAAATTTTATGAGCCTGCCATAATTTTGCTCCATCACTAACTGCTATATTTATCCCACCATCTTCTTGCATCAAACAAAACCCTCCTTACAATCAGTTCTAATCTCCTGTTCATTCATGGTCAATCTGTAGTAATTAGAACAGGCTAGATACAAGTTGACTGTTTAGCTTGAGAAGCTGTATTTCCAGGACAACCAAAGGACCCCATCACTCACCTATAGGTTTGGTAGTGCAGTTTTCGATCCAACAAGGGCCTGCCAACCCATGAATAAGTTTTTCTGGTCTTCAGCCTTGTGGGGTAGTGTGCCATGGCTTCTGTGGAAGAGTCCAAACTCTGAGTTACCATGATAAATATTTGGTATTTATCTGATGGATTCTAAGACATAGTCAGTCCCTCCCTTCAAATGAGATCAGACTTATTTTCTGCCCCTGCTACACTCCCATACATTTTAGACTAAGAAAACATTTTATTTGAAGTCATGGTCTACGAAGATTACACACAGGCAATTTAGTATCATCTGTGTCCATCTTGTACTATGCCGTATCTCTTTCCATCCAGGAAAACAGAAAGGTCAATTCCTAAGAAATGAAACTGTAACATTTAGAAATACTAGGAATAAGGCAGAACAATAGGTGTAAAACATCTAACAAAGTGAAATTAAAAGACAGTGATACAGGGGTTGTAAATGTCTTCATGACGCTTATAAAATGCACACAAGGATAAAACAGAAATACAAAGGCTGGGCGCAGTGGCTCACGCCTGTAATCCCAGCATTTTGAGAGGCTGAGGTGGGTGGATCACCTGAGGTCAGGAGTTCGGGACCAGCCTGGCCAACATGGTGAAACCCCGTCTCTACTAAAAATACAAAAATCAGGTGGGCATGGTGGCAGGCAAATCACTTGAACCCGGGAGGTGGAGGCTGCAGTGAGCCGAGATCGCAACACTGCACTCTAGTCTGGGTGACAGAGCAGAACTCTGTCTCAAAATAAAAAAAAGAAAAGTAGATGTTATTATCACTTCAAGGTGATAACTTATCCTATCTTATACAGGATGGCACAGCCTTAACTCAAACCCGGAAAAGCCAGACTGCAATTACTGTGCTCTTAACTACTTCACCTTACAACACACTGTGTGAAACTGGATAATGTTAATATGTAACTGAGAGCTTGCTTTTGGTGTACTTATTACAATAAATCAGGCTTCCCAGCCACTGACTGAACATTGTGGATTGGGCCTCAATTTGCTTACCCACAAAATGGAGAAAATAGAATCTTCCGTTTATTCAACCAATATTTATTAAGTACCCATCGTGTGCCAGGCACTATTTTAGGATAATGGAAGATTAAGTGAAAAAATGCAAAATGGTAAATCCACTTTCCCACTACCTTAATCCCTTGCATTTATTTGTAAGGTACAGTGGTTTTATTTATTAAGTATCATTTGATGAATACTATGGAACTAACATAATTCAAGCAAAATTTTGCATTCAATTTCGGCAGATTCACAAACCTCCTAAAGTCCACATATTGCCCTCCATTAAAGTTAAAAACTGTTGCAAAGGGACTTAAACCATTCTGTCATATTGGAAACTCCTTTGGCATTTCCAGCCCACCTAACACAGCAGAGACGAGGGTACTATTATTCATGTGTTACAGACAACTAGAATCGTATATAATCATTGCAGTTTCACAAATAGATCAGGATAAGAATGCCTTTTCCAACTGTCACAGCAGAAGACTCTTCAATTCCGGGGTTAGAAAAGAGAAGTAGGAAGGGGGCCACCAGACTTCTCTTCTGAAAAGAAGGTGAATGACAGACAGCCCAGCAGTTAGGAGCTCATCTGAAAAAAAGATCTGGGTAGGAGCCCAGACTGCTTAGTCACGAAAAGCGACCTAAGACACGTCCCTCCCTGGGCGCAATTTACGTCCGTAAAATGGGGTAATAACCTCTGCTCCGCCTTCCCTGTAGTGGTTCCTACACTATAGCTCAAAGAACGAAACAAGTAGAGTGCTTTACAAATGCAGATGGAGGGAAAGTCATCACTGAGCATCAGGGTGCGGAGGGCAGGAATGCTCCTGCTTCTAGGCTGTTGGCTTCCGCCTTCCCCCCTGCAAACTCAGTTCCCTGCAGCGCGGGAAGCCTTTTAGGAATCGGAGTGTGGAACAGAGGAACGCTCTTAACAGTTCAGAACAGTGCCTGGCACTGAACAGGCGCTTGGTACATGTCAGCTAAAAGAATCAATGACTGAGTCTACAGAGAACGTCCTCAGTTTCAGAGGTTCCGATGCGCCCTCCCCCGAGTCCCTCGCAGCCCGCTGGACGCCACACTCACCCGGCTCCAAAGCTTCCTCCGGCTAGCCGCAAGCCCTCCGTTTCCTACCGCCTCCACTTCGAGAGCTCCGGGGGATGCGGCACCTCTAACCTGCACCAGCAGGGCTCCTTCTACAACTACGGGCCGAAAGCCAGGACCAAAGCGTGTGTCTCACTAGAAATGAAAAGAAGGTGGAAGGAGAAAAGAAAACTTCGCGCCAATCGGCGTGGCCCCGCCCCCAGACCGTCCCTTCGTTGCGACACCAACTAGCTCGCCCCGCCCACTCCGTACACCTAAGAGGGGCGCATGACGTACATCCGCTAACATGCAGCCGCCATCATTGATTCGATAGGCGACGCGGGGAGCGGAAGCCCTTTACACTACGGTGTTTCCGGCTTCAAGATGGTCGCCTAAGCTGTTTAGTGAAACTTCTTCCACCTTTCTCCATTCCTCTAGGTGCTTTTTCTGAACCTGGATGTGAGGCATTAAAGGATCCGACGGAAATAGAATTGAAGGCATTCTAAAATGGCTAACCGTACAGTGAAGGATGCGCACAGCATCCATGGCACCAACCCTCAATATCTGGTGGAGAAGATCATTCGAACGCGAATCTATGAGTCCAAGTACTGGAAAGAGGAGTGCTTTGGACTTACAGGTAAGTGGAAGCGCGCGGAGCGCCTCTCAGCCCCCTTGTGGCCCATTTCTCCTGACCGAGCGCGGGTAGGACTAGCGACTGGCCTCTGGGGGTGGTACTGGAACGGAGTATGTCGATCATTCAGAAAAATTTTGAGTGCCTGCTAAGTGCCTCGTCTTGTGTTGAGTATTAGAGGCACAGATGAATCTGGTAAGGTCATATTCTGAAGGCTGTCTCAGTTGGGTGTTGTGAGTTATTCCGTATTTAATGATAGCAGGCTGGGTTGCAACAGTGTTAAGCTCAGGGATCCGGATATAACACTTTGACACAATCTGTTGAAGGTCTTTAAGGACCTAACGTTAATATGCCTGAAACCAAATTCATGATCTTACTATTCTTAGATCTGGGCCGGTTCCAGTATTTATAAATATCAGTGCTTCAGAGAAGTCTTCCAGGTAATCTTCCGATTTGAATTGTGGCTTTAAATCCATGTCCTGTGACAATCTGTGGACCTTGAGCAAGTCACTTTACCTTTCTTAGCCCTCATTTTCCTTACCTGGAAATAAGAACATTGCTAGAACTTTCTTCATGACTTGTTAAAAAAGGTTAAGTGAGATAATATGAAAAGCTTAGCAGGGTACCTATTTTATTATCCATTCTCAATGTATATTAGCTGTTGTCGTTACTGTTATTAATACACATTCGTTCTCCTAATATTACACTGTTGATGTATATTTAGGAGAACCAAAGCTTGAACTAACTCCACTCCAACTAGGAAGAGCTTAGCCCTAATATGTTACTGTATTGTTTTTGTTTTTTAGCTGAACTTGTAGTCGATAAAGCCATGGAGTTAAGGTTTGTGGGTGGCGTCTATGGTGGCAACATAAAACCAACACCCTTTCTGTGTTTAACCTTGAAGATGCTTCAAATTCAACCCGAGAAGGATATCATTGTAGAGTTTATCAAAAATGAAGATTTCAAGTGAGTGCAATGTTCACTAGCTAATATAAGAGGTTTAATTTTGGCGGTTTAGAATTGGGCTTTGGTTAAGAGGGGTGTACACAATGTATCTCATTTCTAGAGAGTTCCACTCCAGATTTTTGCTTTTGAGCCCTTGAGTTTGTATTTTTTGTTTGTTTTTTGTTTTGGAAACAGAGTCTCTCTGTGTTGCCCAGGCTGGAGTGCAGTGGTGCGATCTCGGCCCACTGCAACCCCCATTTCCTGGGTTCAAGTGATTCTCCTGTCTCAGCCTCCCGAGTAGCTGGGATTACAGGCATGTGCCATCACGCCTGGCTAATTTTTGTATTTTTAGTAGAGATGGGGTTTCACCATGTTGGCCAGGCTGGTCTCGAACTCCAGACTTCAGGTAATCCCCTCCCCCCCCGGGCCTCCCAGAGTGCTGGGATTACAGGCATGAGCCACCACACCCTGCCAAGTTTGTATTTTATCTGTTCTGATTGTATTAATCTTCTACTTTACTTTCTCAGTTTTGGTAATTTTTCCCTGAAAAAGGATTTCACAGATTCACTAAATACATATTAAGCAAAAGTGAGTGCCTGATATGTTGGTAGGCACTGGACGCTCAGGGGTGAAAATCAAACAACAAAAGGTGGTGGTTAAGAGGTGTAAGATCTGGGTTCACATCCAGATTCTGTTGCCCATTAACTATGACATTGGAGAGGTTACTTAATTTTCTAAACTTTGCTTATCTGTAAAATGGTGACTATAATATAAGAGTGAAAGAACGTAATGCATGCAGATCTCTGAACACAGCACTTGCTGCATGGTAAACACCTAGAAAATGTCAGCTTATTACCGTATTACCGATTCTCGAGGAAATCACAAACAAGTATAGGAGACAGACATAATAGCTTCTTATGTGCCATGCTGTAAGGGCTTTGCATATAATAATTCATTTCACTTTCACAACAACCTTCTAAACTTTTAATCCCTATTCTACAGGAGAGGAAACTGAGGCACAGAGATTAATTAATTTTGCCCAAGTTCAAACAGCTAGTAAGTGGCAAATCTGGCTTCAGAGTTCATATTCTTTGCTACAGTATTCTGCTTCTCGTACAAAGAAACTATGACTTTCAAAAGCCTCCTAGTTACCCAAGAGGAAATTTAAGTAGTTAGATATAGGAAAAAGGGAAGAGGAACAACTCTTTTTTTTGTTTGAGACAGAGTCTCGCTCTGTTGCCCAGGCTGGAGTGCAGTGGCGCAGTCTCGGCTCACTGCAAGCTCGGCCTCCTGGGTTCATGCCATTCTCCTGCCTCAGCCTCCCAAGTAGCTGGGACTACAGGCGCCCACCACTACACCCGGCTAATTTTTTGTATTTTTACTAGAGACGGCATTTCACCGCGTTAGCCAGGATGGTCCCGATCTCCTGACCCGGTGACCCACCTGCCTCGCCTCCCAAAGTGCTGGGATTAGAGGCGTGAGCCACCGCCCCTGGCTGGAACGACTCTAATAAAGCATTAACAGCTAGAAAATACCTAACTTTTGTTAGGCACTTACTGTGTGCTCTGTGCTATACTTAGCACTTTCAATGCATTTCTTGTTTATATACCAAGCCATAAATTAGGTAGCATTATCTCCGTTTTACAAGGATTGAGAAAACACATGATTTGACCAGTAGTGTCACAGACTTAGTAAATTACGGAGTCAGAATTTGAACCCAGATGACTTACTTTTTTCCAAAACCAGCAGTCATGTTTATGTGTACTTGTTCTTGTATTGTTATTAAATATATCTTCTTTCTGTTTTAAAATTCAATATATGGCCAGGTGTGGTGGCTCACACCTGTAATCCCAGCACTTTGGGAGGCCAAGGCAGGTGGATTGCTTGAGGTCAGGAGTTCAAGACCAGCCTGGCCAACATGGGGAAACCCCGTCTCTACTAAAAATACAAAAATATGCCAGGCATGGTTGCTAACACCTGTAATCCCAGCACTTTGGGAGGCCAAGGCAGGCAGATCACCTGAGGTCAGGAGTTTGAGACTAGCCTGGCCAACATGGCAAAACCGGTCCCTACTAAAAATACAAAAATTAGGCTGGGTGTGTTGGCACATGCCTATAATCCCAGCTACTTGGGAGGCTGAGGCAGGAGAATCGCTTGAACCCAGGAGGTGGAGGCTGCAGTGAATTGAGATCGTGCCACTGCACTCCAGCCTGGGCAACAGAGCAAGATTCTGTCTCAAGAAATAAATAAATACATAAATAAAAATACAAAAATTAGCTGGGCATGGTGGCGGGCGCCTGTAATCCTCGCTACATGGAGGCTGAGGCATGAGAATTGCTTGATCCCAGGAGGCGGAGGTTGCAGTGAGCCAAGATCGTGCCACTGCACTGCAGCCTGGGCAACAGAGCAAGACTCTGCCTTAAAAAATAAAATAAAATTCAGTATTTCTTTTGATTCTTAGAGTAATCCTGTGAGGTAAATAGGTTTTATTCTAGTTTTACTGATGATATATTTGAAAGTTGATCAATATGTATGATGTTCCCACAGCCATAAATGGTAGCATGGGAACTTGAACTCAGGTCTCCATATTTTAGCTGTCTTTCTTCTGCTGCATTCTACCTCCACAATTGCAGCTTTCTTACCTGCCAAAGAGAAGAACATGTTTATCCACTACTGTCATGAGAACAGCTAGTTGTAAAACTCAGGAACTTCTAGGATGGCCTGTTGTTTCACTGTCATCTGTCTCTCAGGTATGTCCGCATGCTGGGGGCACTTTACATGAGGCTGACAGGCACTGCAATTGATTGCTACAAGTACTTGGAACCTTTGTACAATGACTATCGAAAAATCAAGAGCCAGAACCGAAATGGGGGTAAGTATGGTGCTAAGTCTCCTGATTGTCATTTTTAAGCCAGTTTTTATTTTACCAGTACTTCTACCTTTGCATTGTCATAGACAGTGTGAATGCTCCTTTTCATCTACATTGTTACTGTCTCTATGCAGGTTTTCCCTTGTCCCTCATGGGAGTTTTCAGTCTGACTACTAGCTTCGTGTTGGCCTTACCCAGCCTGCCTCTGTCTGTCTCCCTTTCCAAGTGCATCTTATGTTAATCCCTGCCTTGCATCATATGCCCCCTTTACATGTGCTCCATCCCAAAAGATCTAGCTGCAGAATGGCTTCTCCATAAAAACCTTCCCCAGCCCTCTCAGACAAAATTAGTTTTCCATATTTTACATCTTCACAGTTCTTTCTACTGGCCTCTCCTCTAACACTGTAATTCACACTGCAGCATATAAGACTACTCATTTTTATACAGGAATCCCACTGAAAAATAAGTATATCCAAGAGAGGCAGCTCCATACCTTCTACAAGGAGATTACTTAATGTGCTAAGGAGGGATTCCAGGTAATGCAGTCAAAACCTTTTCTCACTTGGTGTCATAACAGAAGATAGGAACATTTACCTTTCCCCCTACATGTATCATTAAACAGTAGAAGGTTAAGAATTTGGGGCCAAGCACGGTGTCTCACACCTCTAATCCCAGCACTTTAGGAGGCCAACATGGGCAGATCACTTGAGGTCAGGAGTTTGAGACCAGCCTCGTCAGTATGGTGAAACCCTATATCTACTAAAACTACAGTAATTAGCAGGGTGTGGAGGTGCACACCTGTAATCCCAGCTACTCAGGAGGCTGAGGCAGGAGAATCCCTTGAACCAGGAGGCGGAGATTGTAGTGAGCCGAGATCACGCCGCTGTATTCCAGCCTGGGCGACAGAGCAAGACTCCATCTTAAAAAAATAGAATTTGGTATTATACTTTAAACTTATTGATTCATTCATTGAATAAATACATATTAAGTGCCATTGACATGTCACATACTGTGCTATGTGGTGTAAATACCATGGTGAACAAGATGGACATGGTCATGGCCATGATGGAGTTATTTATTTATTATTTTATTACGTAAAACTAAGAATTTCTGAACCTATTGACATTTTGGGTCATATAACTTTTGTGTGAGGATTGGCTTGTGCATCATAGAATGAGTAGCAGTATCTCTAGCCTCTACCCACTAGATGGAAGTAACACCTCCTTCTAAGTAGGGGGATGGGCATGTGCAAAATTGCCCATGGTTGAGAACCCCAGAAGTAAGGTAATGTTTACCATGGAAGTTCTCAAAAGCTATATATGTATATGTATGTATGTATATATATGTATTTGTATATGTGTATATACACACACATATATATACATTTTATAATTATATTTACATACAAATATATAAATATACATAATCATATATAATTTATATATAACATAATTTATATATAACATAATTTATATATAATATAAATTGCCTGTAATCCCAGCTACCCAGGAGGCTGAGGCAGCAGAATTGCTTGAACCCGGGAGGCGGAGGTTGCAGTGAGCCAAGATTGCACCACTGCACTCCAGCCTGGGCAAAAGTGAGACTCCGTCTCAAAAAAAAATTTTTTTTCTAACTCTAGCCAAAAACAATATTTCCTTATTAAAAACACCTCAGCTCTGCCATATACTAGTAGTATAATCTTACGCAAATTACTTAAATTTAGTTTTCTCCTATGTAAAGTGAGGTTAATGATACTTTTATATATATATAGATGTATATATATATATACACACACACACACATATATATAGACATATAATTTTTTTTTTTTTGAGATGGAGTCTCACTCTGTTGCCCAGGCTGGAGTGCAGTGGTGTGGTCTCAGGTCACTGCAACCTCTGCCTCCCAGGTTCAAATAATTCTCCTGCCTCAGCCTCTTGAGTAGCTGGGATTACATGTGCCCACCACCATGCCCAGCTAATTTTTGTGTTTTTAGTAGAGATGGGGTTTCGCCATGTTGGCCAGGCCTGTCTTGAACTCCTAACCTCAAGTGATCTGCCTGCCTTGGCCTCCCAAAGTGCTGGGATTACAGGCGTGAGCCACCACTCCTAGCCAGTTCTCAAAAGCTATCACTCCATGTGCCATATAAGATACATGTTCTAAATTCAGAAACATTGAAGGTTCAGATGAGAAATTATATTTAAGTTATATGATCTCTTCAAGATCATCCCTACATAATTCAGGACTGTTTGTGCTTGTTTTTGTGTTTGTCTCCTGCTAATTGGGACATCTTCATTCATCCCTTAATCTCTTCTAAAGAGGCCTAGCACATAGATGTCCTGATATGAAGTCTTAACACTTCTTTTACTTTTTGGCATCTAAATCTTTTATTTCCAGGTTGTTTGCTCTAATGACTTTTTCTTGCAGAGTTTGAATTGATGCATGTTGATGAGTTTATTGATGAACTATTGCACAGTGAGAGAGTCTGTGATATCATTCTGCCCCGACTACAGGTAAGAAATAAAAGTCTGTTACCAGAGTCACCCTTCTCTTCCTAGACGGGCAGACAGACAAACACATACACACAGCTTAAACACTGAAGCCTGTGGATCTTATGGGTCCTCTTAATGAATAGTCTTCCTGTCTGGGAGTCCCAAGATAGTGGATTGGGAGTGAGAGGAAAATAGATAAAATATTTGAAGGGTAGGGCTTTAAAAGTGAATGGTTTAAAACAAGGAAACTTTGTTTTTCTCCATCCTTTTGTAGTTCAGGTGCATGTGTGAGTTGTGCCTCCCTCAAACCTTGTTACAAAGTCAGCACATTACCTGTCTATCATGAAAAAAGAAATTTATTCAGGATGTTACATCAAGGGTATTGTAGCTAGAGTAGGTAGGGAGTTTTTAACTTCATGAACGTTTTTTTTAAACTAATCTTCATGTAAAAAGCCAGGACATAAAACAGATAAAAATAGGGCCAGGAGTGGGAGACTGAGCCATTAATTCCTTAAACTTGCCTTCACCATCCTGCTTCCCTTTCCTAGTGATAAACGATTATCCATGAGGCATCTTTTCAGGAAATGAGTGTGATACAGCTCTCCTGTTCCATGTTGGCACTGTAGGGCATGTAGTGGAAAGAATGAGATTATAAATTTGAAAACCTACTTTGAGGGCCCAATTCTTATAGCAAGACAATGTCTTGCTGTGTTGCCCAGGCTGTTCTTAAACTCCTGGGCTCAAGGGATCTTCCTACCTCAGTCTCCCAAGGAGCTGGGACCACGGGTACATGCCACTACATTTAGCCATTTGGCATTTTTGAAATCAGCTTTGCCTCTCTGATCCTTAGCCACTCAAATAAACATTGCTAAGCCATATCCCAGATTAAAATGGAACCAGTTCAAAATGCATGAATATCAACAGCTCCCGAGATCCTGGGTCTACTGGAGATTTGGTACTACTCTAGGGCTAGGCCTCTTCTAGTGGAACTACCAGCCATGAACTTATTAGCCCTTGGATTTTCTCTGTGTGTGAAGCCCTTACTTTTGGTTCTAGGCTGTACCTATACTGATTGATATTCCCATGACTTTAGAGTATAAGGTACAGGGAATAGAGTCAATAGAAAATGAAGATGTTCTCTTCAGGTTTGTATTTATGTTTATAGGAGAACTTTATAGATTTCAGGTCTATTAAACTTGTTAGGAAAATCTTGAACTGTCTTTGAAATGAAATTGCCTCAGCTGTTGCTCCTTGGAACCCTGAAGCCCAGTGTTGAGGTTTCAAGAAATAGGGGAAATGGCAACAACCCCTAACTCTCATCATTTTCTCTGTAGAAACGCTATGTATTAGAGGAAGCTGAGCAACTGGAGCCTCGAGTTAGTGCTCTGGAAGAGGACATGGATGATGTGGAGTCCAGTGAAGAGGAAGAAGAGGAGGATGAGAAGGTCTGGCACCTGAGACTTTTATGGTTGTAGGGGAGGGAGTAATAGAAAATGGGAATGGTTTTTTGTTTTTAGACTTTAATTTTTAACTCTATTGGCCGGGCGTGGTCGCTCAAGCCTGTAATCATAGCACTTTGGGAGGCCAAGGCGAGTGGATGACCAGCGGTCAGGAGTTCAAGACCAGCCTGGCCAACGTGGTGGTGAAACCTCGTCTCTACTAAAAATACAAAAATTAGCCAGCGTTGTGGTGGGTGCCTGTAATCCTAGCTACCCAGGAGGCTGAGGCAGCAGAATTGCTTGAACCCGGGAGGCAGAGGTTGCAGTGAGCCAAGATCGCAACACTGCACTCCAGCTTGGGCAAAAGTGAGACTCCGTCTCAAAAAAAATTTTTTTTCTAACTCTAGCCAAAAACAATATTTCCTTATTAAAAGCACCTCAGCTCTGCCATATACTAGTAGTATAATCTTACGCAAATTACTTAAATTTAGTTTTCTCCTATGTAAAGTGAGGTTAATGATACTTTTTTCCCCAAGACTGTTAAAAGTATTAAATAAGATTATAAACTTAAAGCCCTTAGCAGAGTATTGGCACATTATAATTGCCTAATAAATGGTGGCAGCTATTAAATACTTGGAAAGAAAGAACACTTTCATAATTGCACCTATCCTAAGGAATAAACCTTGTTTAGGAGGGGGAAAATGTCAACCGCATAGTCATGTTCTTTCAGTACTAGTTACGGTGCTGAAAAGTTGAAAACAACCAAGCTGCCCAGTTGTTCCAGGAAGCAAACTTTTTTTTTTTTTGAGATAGGGTCTTGCTCTGTTGCCCAGGCTGAGGTGCAGTGGCTCACTGCATTCTCGGCCTCCCAGGCTCAAGCAGTCTTCCCATCTCAGCCTCCCAAGTAGCTGGAACTACAGGCACGTGCCAGCATACCTGGCTAATTTGTGTATTTTTTTTGTAGAGATGGGATTTCACCATGTTGCCCAGGCTGCAGATAAACTAAACATACACACATACACACACACAGGTCTGTTTCTGTTCCCTCTCCTATGAGTCATTTTGGCTGTCTTATATAGCTCATAATAAGTTTTGTTAGTTAATAGGGTAAGTGCTTCCCTCTTTGTAGTCAGGTTACTGTGCTTTAAAGTCACATGGAGATGGACTTTGGGACAAGATGGGGCGTGAAGTATAATTAGTGTTCCTAGATGGCTCTTTATAAGCCTGTGCCTTTCAATGACCCAATCATCTTGTTTCCAGTTGGAAAGAGTGCCATCACCTGATCACCGCCGGAGAAGCTACCGAGACTTGGACAAGCCCCGTCGCTCTCCCACACTGCGCTACAGGAGGAGTAGGAGCCGGTCTCCCAGAAGGTAAAGCCTAGTCATTGGCCTTTTCCCAGAAGATTTTGAGCACTGTAGCCTAGAAGTTTGGATTTTAGAGAAGGAAAAATGCACGTCTATGGAGAATGTTTGCCCAATATATTAGTTATCTGTTGCTGCAAAACAACCACCTATAAAACCTCATTGGCAGACAACAATAACCATTTGTTCCTTTCACAAGTCTGCAGTCAATGATTTAAGCAGAGCTTGGATAGGCAGTTTTTAAAGTACCTGTTCTGTTGTCGGCTGTCTACTGGCTGGTATGGAATTGCCTTAGCTTGGATGACGGGGGAAATTTCTCTTCTCTGTGTCATCCTCTAGCAGGCTAAGTTGGGCATATTCTCATGGTAGTGGCAGAACTCAAGAGCAAACAAACCCGGTCATGCAAATGTTTTTCCAGTATCTGCTTTTATCACATTTGCAAATATCTCATTAGCCAAAGCGAGTCATGTCACCAGTCCTAAAGTTAGAATGGGAGGGTGCTAGAGTTACGTGACAAAAGACATGGATACAGAGGTGGGTGATACAGAGAAGCGTGAAGGATAAGATTGGGGCCGTTTTTGCAATCTACCACATCCAGTGCGCCAACCTAGGCTTTCTTCTTCCTCTCCTCTTTATAGGCGGAGTCGATCTCCCAAAAGGAGAAGGTAGGCCTTCAGTCATTTGTGATGAAGGATAGGGCTTTGGGGAGGGGGTGGTGGTATTGGTGTTATATGTATATTGCTAACCAGATCTGGTAGTCTGACCAGTCTTTTCTACAGCCCCTCCCCTCGCCGAGAAAGGCATCGGAGCAAGAGTCCAAGACGTCACCGCAGCAGGTCCCGAGATCGGCGGCACAGATCCCGTTCCAAGTCCCCAGGTAAAGCTTGTGGGCCTTTTGCCACAGGTTGTCTTAACAAAGAAATGTAAAAGGAGTAGTTAGCCTCCTGCAGTACAGGAGTGCCTGACTGTACTGCCTAACAGAAAAGCAAATGGACATAGAATTTGAAAATTAAGGTTCACAGCTTGACTGTCACTTATAAGCTTTGCTGATAAGGTTTGCTTTAGTTTTTTCATCTAAAATTGGAGGAATAAGATCTAACATAATAGTGAAAACCCAATATGATGTTTGTGAAATTAGTCATAAAGCCCTTGAATGTATATGTATTTGAACTGGTTTCATTACTACTTTCTTTGCTCCCTCTTCCTCCACTAATTCAGAGTTGCTTCCACTAAGAGGTGTCCCCTGCATAGGCCAAAAGAATATTAAGCCAATGGCAGGTATTAGGGGAGGTGAGAATGACAGTTTAATAAGAGTAGAAGGGTAGGATCTTATGCAATGGCCTTTTCTTCCCCAGGTCATCACCGTAGTCACAGACACAGGAGCCACTCAAAGTCTCCCGAAAGGTAATGAATTGACCTCTATTTTAACTTTACAGAAATAGTCCAAATTACAACTAACTGGACCTGAAATTTTCTTGTTTTGTTGGGGGATGTTAGGAATTCTCCTGCATTACAAGACAAAATTGGTCTATTGCTTTGAGAATTACTGGGGTTAGATAACTTTTTCTTTTTTCTCTTTTTTGAGAACTGAGTTTCGTGCTTGTCTCCCAAGCTGGAGTGCAGTGGCGTGAACCTGGCTCACTGCAGCCTCTGCCTCCCGGGTTCAAGCTGATACCTGTTTTGCTTTACAGGATTGCAGCTTTGGACAATGGATGAGCTTTGGTCTCAGAAAACATGGGGTTTAGTCCCAAGTTTTAAAACTTAACAGTTGAGTGACCTTGGACAAGTCACTTTCATTTGATAAGATTTCATTAGAAACCCCCATGTGCCATATACCGTTGGGTGCACTCTTTTTTTTTTTTTTTTTTTTTTTTTTTTGAGACGGAGTCTCGCTCTGTCTCCCAGGCTGGAGTGCAGTGGCGCAATCTCGGCTCACTGCAAGCTCCACCTCCTGGGCTCACGCCATTCTCCTGCCTCAGCTTCTCGAGTAGCTGGGAATACAGGTGCCCGCCACCACCCTTGGCTAATTTTTTATATTTTTAGTAGAGACGGGGTTTCACCATTTTAGCCAGGATGGTCTCAATCTGACCTTGTGATCCGCCCACCTCGGTCTCCCAAAGTGCTGGGATTACAGGCATGAGCCACCGCGCCGGGCCTGTTTGGTGTACTCTTAACCTCTAAGAGGTCATTTCCTCAATGGTAAAATTTGGATAGTAATGCCTGACTCAAGAGTGTTGCTCTGAGTCAAAAAAATACCAAGCAGTTTAATGAATATTGAGTGTCAGCTCCATCCCCATCAATGTCAGCATACCAAGGTCTTTCTCAGGACTCCTTTTTTTTTTTTGAGATGGAGTCTCACTCTGTCATTGAGGCTGGAGTGCAATGGCCCAATCTCGGCTCACAGCAACCTCCACCTCCCGGGTTCAAGCAATTCTCCTGTCCCAGCCTCCTGAGTAGCTGGGATTACAGGTGCCCGCCGCCATGCTCGGCTAATTTTTGTACTTTTAGTAGAGACAGGGTTTCACCATGTTGGCCAGGCTGGTCTCGAATTCCTGACCTCAGGTGATCTGCCTACCTTGGCATCCCAAAGTGCTGGGATTACAGGCGTGAGCCACCGTGCCTGGCTGCTTCTTAATATAATTATTTATATGTGTTGCCATTTCAGGTCTAAGAAGAGCCACAAGAAGAGCCGGAGAGGGAATGAGTAATGGACTCAGTTTGGTTTTAGTCCACATGGCCTCCTGTGGATATAAGGATATCTGTATGTGGAAGGATTAAGATCTCCCCCAGGCAGCTATAAGAATATTTTAGTTTTTTTCTTATCAAGTTTCTCAACCTTTATTTTTAATGAAGGAGGTGCTGAGTTTTGTATCTTTTTAATCATAATCAACATCAGTTTTTGACCCAACTAACCTTGACTGTATTCAAACTTATGAGAGTATAAAGGATCTGGAGGTTGGGGATATGACTGACAAGGAAAGGCTGTGGCCACCTGATGACCCTTTCCCTTTTTATTAAACCGGACACACCTGTTTCCCATTTCGCTGTAGTTTAGTTTTTGGTTTGTTGTGGTTGGAACTGCTTTGAGAATCCTGGGATTTGTGCTGCTGCTGTTATTCAAAGATCAAAGGAGTAAAACATAGTTGCTCCTAACTTTTTTCCAGCAGCAGCAAGTGGTAATAAACATGAAAACTGGTTTGTAGCAGTTTTGAAAGAATAGAATGCATTCAAATGTAAGGCTGCTTCTGGATCATTAAAGCCAGTTTCATCAAACAGTTCAACAGAGAGCAGCACTTAATACCCTTTATACAGCCCATTTTTTCATAGTTTCATTTGTTCTTGCCCACAAGCTTGAAATCCAGGTTAAGGTATCCAGCCTTTATCATATAAGCATTGACATTATCCAGGCCTAGTCAGTAGCAGTAGGGTAACGGGATTGAAAAAGATTTGATGGAGAGGAAAGTATCTAATATTAGTCATGGTTTTGACCTAAATTGCTAGACAGTCGTGCCATTCACAAAGTCAGAAAATACAGCAGGAAGAGACAGCTTTTAGAGGGGCAGAGAATTAGAGGATGGTGGTAGTAATGAAAATGATGCATTCAGTTTAACAAGTTTAATTTGAGACAGCTATGGTATAGCTAAAAACAAAAGCCCATA
The DNA here is from genome assembly GCF_000001405.40 of Homo sapiens. Lineage (NCBI taxonomy): Eukaryota > Metazoa > Chordata > Mammalia > Primates > Hominidae > Homo > Homo sapiens. The sequence goes on from NC_000001.11 coordinate 52,417,642, forward strand.
AAGTTGGAGATAGGGACCAGAGTTTAACATAGCGATCTAGGCCAGAATTGACAATGTTTAAGTAATGGTGGAATCTGTCAATAAGACTTCCCAGAGTGTTAATATATATCAGAAATGCACACAACAGAACCATAGGCAACACCAACACAGGAAGAAATAGAAGTCACCTATTGAAAACTGGAATGGCCCATTCAGAAAGACAGGAGAATTAGGAGAGAGTGAGTGAAAGAAGCCAAGGGTCAAGAATGCAGAAGCAAAGGAAGGACTAAAAAGCCTCCACGGACATCGATAATCAAGAGATTATTAAGATCTTTGCTAGAAGAGTTCCTTTACCTGTACTTAACTCCCTTAAAAAGAGAAAAGTGATGGAATGACTTCTGCAACTGTAGTCCCAGCAGGAACTGTGAAGACCAGCTGCCCTGCAGGATCCAGTTTTTCTTGGGAGGTTGTATCTGGTCATAAGGTAAACATTCTATATATTCTATGCCTGCTCTAGAATTGAAAGACTTCAGCAGTATTAAAGCATTTTTTAATCTTATTTGAGCTTTCATATTCTTCAATGGTTCCTTTCGTAATACCTGAGTTAATAAAAGTGGTCTGAAAGAGCTCTTACGGTTTCTGATAGAACTATATAGGACTACCTTTTAAGATTAAATATAAGCATCTGTACGTAAATGTATTACAGTGTCATAGCAGTTATTTCTTTATGAAAGTGATCTAGGTAGAAAGAAATGTCTTCTGGCATGGACAGAAATGACCCATGGACCAACCAAGCTGTCATCCAGTACACTCTTAAAATAAAACTTTGTCTTAAAATATGTTTTAAAGTAAAAATAAACCCACGCACAAAGCCCAATAAATTTTAGTAACAGAAATAAACCTCCCTAAACAAACATTAAAACATACTTGTTTAGACATATGGTAATATGTGGACCAAAATTGAGGTACCACAGCCAATCAATAGCAGGAAAGAGAATGTCCCTATTCTTTAATTAGAAGAAGGAGGTAAGAGTAAGACATGTTGCATGTCTGTAGATATCGTTTTGATAAAATTACACAGGAGATGGAGCTTGAGGACAAACCTTGCTGTAAGGCTCTTTCTGTCATCTATGTGCTTGCCTATGGATGAAGCATTTTAAACTTTTTGACTACAGCATACATTTTAAAAACGTATTTTACATCTTACCTCTGTACACATCTGTATTCTGTACTGAGACAAATTTCAGGAAAGAATACTTACTATGCAAAGTGAATTCTGGTGTTTCCTACTTGTTAACAGTTTTTAATATTGGATGAAACCACTTAATCGATTTCACTTCCAATAATTTGAAATACACTGACTTAAAAGCTTTGCCATAGGGCACAATCGCCTTTTAATACTAAGAAAGTAAGGGAGATGTGTTCCAAGGGGCAAAAGAAATAATGCATTTTTGGCCAGGTGCGGTGGCTCACGCCTGTAATCCCAGCACTTTGGGAGGCCGAGGCGGGCAGATCACCTGAGGTCGGGAGTTTGAGACCAGCCTGGCCAACATGGAGAAACCCTGTCTCTACTAAAAAATACAAAATTAGCCGGGCATGGTGGCGCATGCCTGTAATCCCAGTTACTTGGGAGGCTGAGGCAGGAGAATCGCTTGAACCTGGGAGGCAGAGGATGCGGTGAGCTGAGATCGTGCCACTGCACTTCAGCCTGGGCAAAAAGAGCGAAACTCCATCTCAAAAAAAAAAAAAAAAGAAGAAGAAGAATGGGTTTGGTGAGAGGGTTCCAATATTAACAACCCAACTTCAAGCTCATTCCTCTAACCTCTTCCTGTTTGTTATTCTTCAGTAGACCGAAGTTTAAATAAGCATTATTTAGAAAAGAACGATCACAGATTGCCCACTCCCTCAAAAAGGTTAATGTGACAGAAATTCTCCACCTGCTCAAAAAAGACAGCAGACATGATCTCTTTAAAAAAAAAAAGTTCAAAAGAGATTAAGAGATGAAAAATAAGATTGGTGGAGTTTAAAGGCCTTATACTAGAAACCACAAAACATAAAACAGCACAGAGAAAATAGGCTGGAGGAAATAAAAAATGGAAAAGAGAAATATGTAGAATAAAGAAATATTCTGATGGTTTAAAAAGAATTGGCCGGGTGCGGTGGCTCACGCCTGTAATCCCAGCACTTTGGGAGGCCGAGGCAGACGGATCATGAGGTCAGGAGATCGAGACCATCCAGGCTAACACAGTGAAACCCGTCTCTACTAAAAATACAAAAAATTAGCTGGGTGTGCTGGCGGGTAGAGCTACTAGGGAGGCTGAGGCAGGAGAATGGCGTGAATCCGGGAGGCGGAGCTTTCAGTGAGCCGAGATCGCGCCATTGCACTCCAGCCTGGGCAACAGAGTGAGACTCCGTCTCAAAAAGAAAAAAGAATTAAATGGGGTCAGGATGGTCTCAGATCTTATAACAAGAAGGCAATGAAGCAAAAGGCTCCAAAGGTTTGAGAAAAAGTGCCAGGAATTTTATACTTTGCCAAAGTTGTCTTAAAATACAAAGGCTATAGATGTTCTCAAGTTTGTAAGAACTTAAAAGTACAAATCATGAGTCTTTGGGAAAAAACCGCCCAATAATGAAATTCAACTAAAGAAGAAATGAATCAAATTAAGGACTTAGGAACAAAGAATCAGTAAAAGGAGTGTTAGTAAACACTTCAGAAACTTTAAAAATAATGGGCAATGATTATAAAGTCAAATATTATGAACACTGTCTATATAGAAATAACAAGTAGAGTGTGCTGGTTTCATCTTTCATAGCAGGAATCACGTACAGTCTCTAATTAAAACATACATGAAGCTAGAAAAAAAAATAGCCTCTTTATTGTTTTCCGTAATTGTCCTTAATTTTAGGAGAAATCTTACAAGACTAGATTCTCTTGTGGGGAAAAAAGTATTTAAATTGAGCATTTTTTCAGTTTCACACTTGTTTTCCTTTTGTTAATTTGCTATATTTGTTAAATATAGCATATGAGCCCACTTTTGTAAAACTATTTGTATATATGTGCCTGTATGATTAAGAGAGATGGTTGGAATGAATGAAGTTCACCAGATAGTACTTCTTTCTGGCTGATGAACTTTTGAATGATTTTTAAACTTTGTACTTTTATATAATGCTTATTTTCTTTTTACAATAAACATGTTAATTTCTACAAGGAAGAAATGAGTTGTTGGGAGTTAAAAGCTTTTTTATAAGCATACCAACACATTTTACGTATTGTTTGCTGGAACTACAGATTGATAACCACTTTTATGAAGGGCAATTTGGCAATATGTAGCAGGAACCTTAGGACTTTTGATCCTTTTACCCAGTAATCCCATTTAGGGGAATTTACCCTAATAGAATAATTACATGTACACACAAATAGCTTTATCCCATCATCATTTTACACATTACATATATAATATGTATATATAAGAATAACTGGAAACAGCAAAAATGTCCATCTGTAGGGGATATAAACAAATATACAGTACATATTTATATTTTTAATAACCCTAATGTCAAGGGAAAATACTAATCTCCATGTCATTAAACAGAACATTTCAAAACAATTTGGTCTTAAATGTGTGTGTTCTCCCTGTATAAGATTGATAATTTTCTACTTAACTGCTCTACAATGAATCTGAACTCATAATCTACTTTGCAGACTTAAAATCTGAGTTTCTACTATATCAATTTTAAACTATATGTTTTTCAACAGAACAGTTTTGCCAATTATTGAACACTGGCAGTTACTGAAGGAGGGGCAAATGAGATGCTGAAAACTAGTATCTATAACACTATCATATAAGTAAAACCTAGGCTGTTGGTTACTAGGTTGCCAGTTAATAGGTTTTGCCAAGTGGTATTTTATACTGCCTTCCTTAAGGAAGAAAGGCTGAGGGGTTGGGGCATTCTGTTATTGGAAGTTGTTTTATTTTTAATGAATATTTCAAATACAATCCTCCCCTTGGTATCTGGTGGGGGGTTGGTTCCAGGACCTCCCGCAGATATACCAAAATCCAAGGATGCTCAGGTCCCTGATATAAAATAGTGTAGTCTTTGCATATAACCTATGCACATCCTCCTTTATACTTTAAATCATTTCTAGATTACATATAATGCCTCATACAATGGAAATTCTGTGGGAAAAGTTGTTATACTGTATTGTTTAGGGAATAATAACAAACTGTACAAGTTCAGTACAGACACAGTTTTTTTTAATATCTGCAATCCGTGGTTGGTTGAATCCATAGATGCAAAACCCATGGATATGGAGGGCCTACTGTATGTACAAAAGTAAAGAGAATAATAAACACCCCTGTATACGTCATTACCTGTTCTCCAAGATGTGGAAGGACATGAAGTATTGAATGTTAATTTAAATCTTGAATGCTCCAAGTCATTTTAACATGAATGCATAGTTGGGTCAGGTATCTTGTTAATAAATGATTTAAGTCCACCACTTAATAGGATTCTGAAAGATGCTGACGCTTTAATAAGAAAAAATAGTAAATATACCTAACTCAGGTTAGGTAAAAAAAATAGTAAATATATTTAACTCAGGGCTGTAAATACAGCATGAATACCCTCAACCTCCTGCAATAGGTTTCAAATATCTTCCATGTTGCAAAATATGGCAAGGGCCCAAGCAGTCTCCTATTTAAGTAATGTATATCAGAGGAAGCGCAGCAAAGATAACCCACTGTCCTTACATTTTTATCTACTTATTCTGCACCTTTCCAAATAGATATATAGCATCATTTAGCCTAAAATCCCAGGCAACTGGACGGACTAATTAAGGGGTTAGAGAAAATTACCTCACCTCACTGCTAAAACAGCTAAAACATTATGCCACCAACAACTCGAGTCTGAATTCCAATACCCAATAATAATTAATTCCAAGTATTACTGGTAAATAATTATCATCTTGGCAAGTGTGCTTTCCAGGTGGAAGTATAGGACTCAAAATGAATACAGTCTGGGCTGGGTGCAGTGGCTCAACGCCTGTAATCCCAGCACTTTGGGAGGCCAAGGCAGGTGGATCACCTGAGGTCAGGAATTCGAGACCAGCCTGACCAACATGATGAAACCCCGCCACTACTAAAAATACAAAAATTGGCCAAGTGTGGTGGTGCATGCCTGTAATCCCAGCTACTCGGGAGGCTGAGGCAGGAGAATCGCTCAAACCCAGAAGACAGAGGTTGCAGTGAGCCGAGATCATACTACAGCACTGCAGCCTGGGTGACAGACAGACTCTATCTCAAAAAAAAAAAAAAAAAAAAGTAATCTTCCCTCCACTCTAATTGCCAATATTAGTCTCAGTGTTTTAAAATTCTCTTTCCAAATACTTTTCAATTCAGACTCCAGCATTGTTTGCTTTTTGGAATTTACTGACTGCTTTGCATTTCAGTTTTTATTTTCAAAGATAAAATGGAAATGGCTTCCGCTTCTATCAACCTCATATGGGTGTTGTGAACATCCAACCAAATAAAGGATATGAAATGTTACTTGAATCTCTAAAACTAAAATCTGTGATTTAGAATGCTCTATTCACTGAAATTAAAAGAAATCTTGTTACGTAATATTTCCATCATCTATACAACAGATTAACCAAATTTAACTCTTGTCAAAAAGATTTATTAACTTAAAATAGAAGTACTTCAAATACAGACAAAATCAACTTTCCATTCAAGTTTGAATGTTCAATATACAAGTATGGAAAAGAAAAAAAATCTGAATCTTCATGTTGTAATTTTATTTTATTTTTTTACCTTTTAAAAAGTTTTTGGCACTACAAGGTTCTGTAAAGAATAGAAGTGACAATTTAAAACACATGAAATTCTTTCCTAACTTTTAAGAACAATATATAAAGTCTGAAGCAACCAAAGTATGAATACAGCTAATAGAAAATAAAGAATGTAATTTTTTAAATTCTCTCTTTATACAATTCATCAAGGTTAAACAAAACATAAAATTCCCTTAAAAATAGGGTAATAAAATAGATGAAATTTGTATCACTCAATTTGGTGATACTAGTAAAAACTATAGTTCATATTTATATACAAATAATACAGTCTGTAAAAACAGTCTTAGAATTTAAATAAGCTATCTAAACGTGTTAAAATTTTAAATCAGGACCTGATTTGTTTTGCTTTCCATTAAATGTCACTTTTTCTGCTGAATGTAACTGACATTGAGGTACGGATACCCTTGAGACAGCAGGATTGGCTGGTTGCTGTGCATCGGTAGACCAGCTGAAAGAAAATGGACTCGCATTACTCCGACACGTTTCCTCTTGGTGGGTGGGGACAACGCTCTCTACACCGACGGGTGGCACATCTGTCTGTTGGATACAACACAGACAGGAAACTGAAAGGCTTGTGCCTGTTTATCTGACAACACCTTAGAATTAACTTGTAGTTAGCTTTCTTTTTTTCTATTTATATAATAGGAGGTGATAAAGCATGCTGCAAAACATTTGAGAGGGTGGGGAGAAAAATGAAGAAGGGAAGGAAATACCTGTATGTGAAAAAAGGAGAGGACACGAAAGATGGAGAGGAGGAATCAAAGGGAAAAAACCCACTAGAAAAGAGTTGCAGACTCTCCCCTCCTAAAAGGGCTTATGACTAATAGTAACTTCCTTCAGCCCCAGTTCTTTGCTCAAGAGAAGAGCTCAACCACAGTCAAGGCTCTGCCACTCTACAATACAGGGATGCCCCAGTAGTATATGGGTGGTTTAAGAAGGCTTAAATATAACAAGCCTGAGACCATACCAGGCACTTCCCCTTTAAGTTATCATTTCATTCAATCAGCATTTCCTGAGTGCCTGTTTTAACTTCTTGAACTCCTAGTTTAACTATACTGACTCTGACCCAAGTGTTCTGAACTAAGTTAACAAAGAGCTGAAGGCCAGACTCAGACAATGCCTATAAGAACAAATACCTCTGAGGCAAGTAGGTTAGATAAAATGCTCCAAGTTTCTAGGAATTCTTTGTTTGTAATATTCATTACCCAGTCAAAGCCATTATTAGTACTACAATAGCACCAGCAGAACATAATAAATTTTAAGGTCATTCAAGTCCTACGTTTACTAAACAAATATGATTATGTCTTCGTTCCACTAAAAACCTTTAATTAGGTCCCCAATGCTCAGTAAACCAAGTCCAAACTCCATAATATGGTCTAAGCCTACCCTCTCTAGCCTTATCACCATCTTTCCCATATACCTCCGTCCTCTAGCCCTAATATTTTCTACTCTTTTTCATTATGCCAGGCAAAACTCAGTGACTGCATATATTAATCCCTCAGCTAAGCATACTCCTCCTCCTCTCTCATCTCTAGGCAAAAAAAAAATTCCTGCATCTCTTTCAAGATCTAGCTCAACTGTCAAAATCTTGTGATGTAATAATCTTAAATCCACATCCTGTTTGGATTTGCTAGGGCAATGTTAACTGATTCATCTAAACTCCTTTTCTATTTAACATGTCTGGCTTTCCTAATAAAGTGTGCATCAAGTAATGGAGATTTTGTTTTACAAGCACCTAGCACCATCTGACACACAGTATAATTTCTCAGTAAATGTTTACTGAATTCATGAATTTTCACTCCCAGATCCTGGCCTTCACTAAGGCTCTCTATCCCAGAATAAAACCCACCCAAGCCTGTTAACTAATTTGTAAGCAGTGGTACCTTGAGTATAGAAAGGTTTGTTGGGCTGGAATCGGGCATTTCCCTGATGCATGAAGTTTTGATGCAAACCATAAGGCCACGAAGCTGGGACAAGGGGGAAATGGGGACGCGGTGCATGTTCCCAAGGAATTGGAGGAGTCAGTCCTCGAAAGCCTGGCTCTGCATTTCAACAAGAGGGAAAAAGACATTTAAAAACATTAGTTCATTCATTGAAATATCCCTTCATTCCACAAAGATATATTCAGTACCTACCATTGGCTAAGAACTATGCTAAATTCAGAGAATACCAAACAAACTTTTTTAAAGAATAAAGCATTGGTATTTGCTCAAATTATTCATAAGAGACATACAAGAAGAGATATATATATACACAACAATATGTAATAATTGCTAGTAGAACAGGCAAAATGTTCTGAAGAGAGGGCTAACCCAGTCTTTGAAGGTTAGAGACAGTCTTCGTAAGATGATTGACTAATATGAGTTCTAGAAAACAAGGAAAAATTTAGGCAAAATAGGGAGGGGGTGGGGGGCATTTCAGAGAGAAGGAGTATCATGTACAAAAGCCTGAAAGCAGGAAAGCACATCAAGTTTGGGGAACTGCACAACAATCTGCAACATAGAGACAGGAGTGATGGAGGAAGTGGTAAGAGAAAAGGCGGGACAGGTAGGTGGGGATATACATTTCAAAAAACCTTAGTACATCATGCAAAGGAACTTAAGATTTTATCCTAAAGACAATGCCAACTATCCCAGAATCAATTATATCTTGGCCTGGAAGGAGATCCTATTACAAGCTTGAGGCATTGTGGCATAATGGTTGAGAACTTGGGCTTTGAGGCCAAACAAGTCTAAGCTCAAATCTCATTTCCTAAAACTACTAAGGTTCCATTTTGAACCTCAGATTATGAGGTTTAAATTGGATAACCAAAAGAAAGTAGCTTGCACAAGAGCTAGCATATAGGTAGGTACTCAAAAAATGTAAGTCCTATTCTTTTTATGGCTAACTATCCCCCCAAATCTATTTCCCTTTAAAATGTATCTTTAAGTACATTTTTCGAAGTGCAGTACCCAGTTTATATTCTGGATCATTCTGGTGGCTTTTCTCATTCAGAGTCACAGTGTGCTAGGGAATAAAAGGGAATAACTGCCCTTATTCACTAAACTTCTCAGCAGGAACTCAAATTAAGTACGGGATAGGAAAGAGTAGGCAGCAAAAAAAACTAAAGCCCGTGTGAACTGCATTCTTAGAAGCTGAATCTTCTCAGAAAGTAAGCAAACCAGCTAGTTCACTGTGAATTCATAAAAGCCAAGTTACAACTAAGGGCTGAATCTGAAGGGCTCAGGGTTTACAAAAATAAGTGAAACTGGTATATCCAGAATTAGGTCATAACCAAATGAGAAATGATGTTTTAACATAAAAGGGTATTTTTAAAAGATATATTCCAATCCCCTTTGCCTGTTTTTCATAACCCAAAATTTCCAGAAAATGAGTAATACAATCTCATTAAAGATAATTTGAAAAATGGGGGAAAAAAACTCATAATAATCTCCTCCGATACAACTATGATTATTATTTTAATATATTTCCATTCAGTCCTTCCATTTTCAACACAGTGTAACTGTAGCTTTAATAACAATTATGAATTGAGTATCTATACAATGAATAATATTAAGTATAGCTTATTAGATAATAATACTATATAACAGGAACATGGCAGGCTACTAAAGAGAAAACTAAACTCACTACTAGACAGAAAATGACAGACAAAAAACAATTTTTTGCTTCTAGAAGTTCAGTCTAATGGGTTATGCAGATGAGTAAACAGACAATTTCAGCACAGTAAGACAAATGTTATGATATGAATACTAAGAAAATGAGGATTTCCTGAAGAAAGTGATCTAAATTTAAAAATGGAGGATGAGTGAGTTAGCCAAGCTTTGAGGCAGCACAGAAGAAGGTGAGAGTGAGCAGCAGAGGTAACGGAGAGGACATTCCAAGCAGAAGGAACAACTTAGATAAGCAACCAGGGGTAAGAGATAGTACAGTATGTTTGTGGGACATTAATTAGTTCACTATGACTAAAACACTGAGAACAACAAGTTGCAGGGGGATGGAAGACTTCAAATTATAAAAATGGAGCTGATACATCAAAGGGCAAAACACTGGGTCTGTCTTCATGGTTCTATAACTCAGTGACTATCACAGTGCATGTCATGGCATATACACAATAAACATGTTGAATGATATATGAGAAGGACCATGTATGCCATATATCCTCTGATCTTAGAAATCTAATTAAGTTACCATATTCTGGCATTTTTGCTCAGCAAAATACCTTACTTGCATTGTTCCAAAAGAAGCTGGAGACAGCAAAATAATGGATACTGGCAACAATTATCAATGGCAGCTAAGGCTATTAAGTAAAAATGATGAATTTGATAATGGGTAAAACAGGCTGATAAAACCTAACTCACAGATCAATCTTAAGTCACTAAAATAGTTACAACCAGACAGTAAGTTCCTTCTGAAGTGAGGAAACTGGAAATACACGGACCCACCAAGCAGCATTCTTACCAACAGAAAGAGCCTGAATCTAATCCAGTCTCTGAATCTAAATCCCAGTTTACAGGAAATACAGGGACAGAGGTACACATTAAATGATGCCACAAAGACATAATCAGCCAACTCCAGAATATGGGAAATTCTACAGTGCCTTATAGTTAATATCGGAAAAAAAACAGAAGCAGCAACTGTTATAAAGGACAGTTAAGAGAGATAAAAATCAAAGAGATATAAAAACCAAACACACAGTTTTAATTTTGATTCAAATAAATCGATAATAGGAATACTTTTTTAGGCTGGGCACAGTGGCTCACGCCTGTAAATCCAGCACTTTGGGAGGCCAAGGCAGGCGGATCATGAGGTCAAGAGATCGAGACCATCCTGGCCAACATGGTGAATGAAACCCCATCTCTACTAAAAATACAAAAATTAGGGCCAGGCGCGGTGGCTCACACCTGTAATCCCTGTACTTTGGGAGGCCGAGGCAGGCGGATAATTTGAGGTCAGAAGTTCAAGACCAGCTTGACCTACATAGTGAAACCCCGTCTCTACTAAAATACAAAATTTAGCTAGGCGTGGTGGCAGGCGCCTCTAATCCCAGCTACTTGGGAGGCTGAGGCAGGAGAATCGCTTGAACCCAGGAAGCGGAGGTTGCAGTGAGCTGAGATCGTGCCACTGCACTCCAGCCTGGGTGACAAAGCAAGACTCCCTCTAAAAAAAAAAAAAAAAAAAAAAAAATTCCGGGCATGGTGGTGCGCACCTGTAGTCTCAGCTATTCGGGAGGCAGGAGAATCACTTGAACTCAGAAGGCGGAGGTTGCAGTGAGCCGAGATTGTTCCACTGCACTCCAGCCTGGCAACAGAGCGAGACTGTCTCAAAAAACTATATACTTTTTTAGATAAACAGGAAAAACTGAACAAGGACTGGGTATTAGATGATACTAGGTATGGCAATGATCTCATGTTTTTTTTAAGTGACACAACTGAAGTTAAAAAGCAAATTTGATGCAATGTCTGAGATTTGATCAGTCAAGTCAAAAATATTTTTAATGGCTAGGAATCCGATAAAAGAATAGCAAATTATTGATAACTGTTAAAGTTGGTTAATGGGGAGGGGGGTTCATTATATACTTTACTGTCTTTTGTGTATGTTTCAAAATTTCCATAATAGGTTTTTTTTTTTTTTTTTTTGAGATGGAGTCTCGCTCTGTCGCCCAGGCTGGAGTGCAGTGGCACGATCTCGGCTCACTGCAAGTTCTGCCTCCCGGGTTCACACCATCCTCCTGCCTCAGCCTCCCGAGTAGCTGGGACTACAGGCGCCCACCACCACGCTCAGCTGATTTTTTGTATTTTTTAAGTAGAGACGGGGTTTCACCGTGTTAGCCAGGATGTGCTTGATCTCCTGACCTTGTGATCCACCCGCCTCAGCCTCCCAAAGTGCTAATAGTTCTTAAGATAAAAATAATTATCACTAAAAAGTTGGGCATAAGTCAGGCACAGTGGTGTGTGCCTGTAGTCCCACAGCTACTCAGGAGGCTAAGGCAGGAGGAGCACTTGAGCCCAGGAGTTCAAGGTTGTAGTATGCTAGATTGGCCTGTGAATAGCCACTGCACTCCAACCTGGACAACACTTTGAGACTTTGTCTAAATATATATATATATATACTTTTTTTTAATTTTATTTATTTATTTATTTTTTTTTGAGAGAGTCTCACTCTGTTGCCCAGGCTGGAATGCAATGGCATGATCTCAACTCACTGCAACCTCTCTTTCCCTGGGTTCAAGCGATTCTCCTGCCTCAGCCTCCTGAGTAGCTGGGATTACAGGCATGCATCACCACACCCGGCTAATTTTTGTATTTTTAATAGAGACAAGAGTTTTGCCATGCTGGCCAGCCTGGTCTTAAACTCCTGGCCTCAACTGATCTGCCCACCTCAGCCTTCCAAAGTTCTGGGATTACAGGTGTAAGCCACAGTGCCGGCCTGTGTATGTTTAAGTGTGTATAAATATTTATATGTATGTGTGTATATATGTGTGTGTGTGTGTGTCTATGTATTTTAAAGCTGGATGTAAAACTAGATTTATAGCATGTATCAACTATTTTCTTAAATATGCAGTTTTTTTTTAATGACTGAATAGTAATACACCAAAATATTCCTTAGTATTTATGTCTAGGAATTGAGATGATAGATGATTTATTTCTCAAATACTCTATAATGAACATTTATTACTTAGATATCAGAAAAAAAACTATTTTTCTTTTTTAAAGAATTGTTCCTGAGAAAAAATAGTGTCTAGGGCATGCAGCAGCACGGTTTTGAACAAAGAAATTCGTTTAACTCTTGGACCTACCATCATTAATTTTTTTGGTTTCCTTGATCTTTTTTTTGTTTGAGACAGTTCTGCTCTGTCGCCCTGGCTGGAGTGCAATGGCGCAATCTCGGCTCACTGCAACCTCCACCTCCTGGGTTCAAGCGAGCCTCCTGCCTCAGCCTCCCACATAGTTGGGATTACAGGCGTGCACCACCACACCCAGCTAATTTTTGTATTTTTAGTAGAGATGGGGTTTCACCATGTTGGCCAGGCTGGTCTCGAACTCCTGACTTCAGGTGATCCACCTGCCTCCGCCTCCCAAAGTGCTGGGATTACAGGCATGAGCCACCATGCCCGGCCAACCTACCATTATTAACCATGACAGTAAGACAGTGAAGTTACTTAACTCTTCAATTTCATCAACTGTGTAATAAATAATACACCAAACTGAGTGGCAGTGAAAATTTTTTAAAATACTAAAATAATAGCTAACATTTATGTGTGTTACACCTCATTTAACATTTACAACATCCCTGTGAGTTAGATGGCCTATTTTACAGATGAAACCAATGCACAAAGAGATTAACTGCCCAAGCTACATAATAAATGGCAGGGCCAGGATTCAAATCCAGGCAGTCTGAGTCCAGAGCCCATATTCTTAATCTTTATCTAATCCTGTACTGTCCCCTCCACAAATACTGCTTTCCTTCTTTTTCCTCACATTGTTTCTACAGACAGATACAAAAGAAGAAAAGACATGCAGATAAAAAAGAAGAAAAGGAAAGGTTACCTGAATTCCCCACTGCACCACTGTTTACCAGGGAATTTGGAGCCACAGTACGGGGCCAGTGTCCATCGTGAGACGTGTTAGGGATTGCCACAGGTCTGGCAGCAGGCTGTGCAAAGATGATGCTGGGATCATTTAGGCCAATATTGCTGGGGGCACTGCCTGGTGCAGAGTGGATCACTGGGCCATGGATGGGCCAGGACGGGGCAGGGATCTGGAGAGGGTGCATTGGCAACAATCCCATATTGTGCATGGGAGAATACTGAGCTGGTGGTGACTGGGGAAAGTTATACAGTGGCATCTGGACCTGATGGGGAGGTTGGGCTCCCTGCTGAGGTGGGCCAAGCTTAGGTTGGGATCCTGGCTGAGATGAAGGCTGAGTAATAGCAGCTGACTGGGAAGAGTTCTGTGGAAATGGCTGAGGCTGAGGAGAATAAGATGGTGATTCAGACTGCAGACAAAAAAAAAATTTTTTTTAATTAATTTATAAACATCTTAATTTTATAAAAGTAGAGATAAAATACAAAATTAAAAACTTTATAAAACAGAACTCTATGATGTATATCATAACAAATAATTAGTTTTTCCCAAGGTACTCAAACCCCCTTTTCAAGTAGGTATTGCCTCACAAATCGTTTTATTGTCCAAAGAAACGAGAGCCCAGACATGGTTCCCATCGTGCAGAACACATACTTCCTATTGCAAACTCAAAACTTCCATCTAAATATCTCATAGTCACTTTCATTCAGTCCCTCAACAAGTATTTATTGTGTCAATTATGTACTAAGTATTGTTCTAGGTAATAAAAATGTAATACCAACATGTATGCCCTCATGGAGCTCAACGTTTAAGGGGGATAAGGAAGGGAGCAGACAAAGATTACATAAGCAATCATAATAAGTATAATGAGTACTATGATAAAGAATGTACAGTGTACAGCTGTCCCTCAGGATATGCAGGGGATTGGTTCCAGGACCCCCACAATCCTGTACTCAAGTCCCACAGTCAGCTCTACAGAACCCATATATACAAAAAGTTGGATCTCTGAATACTTGGGTTTTGCATCCTGGGAATACTGTACTTTCCAACCACAATCTGTTGGAAAAAATTCATGTATAAGTAGACTCACGCAGTTCAAACCTGTTTTGTTCAAGGGTCAACTACATAATGAAATCCCAGAGCAGGAACACCTAAAGTCACTTTGGGAGAAGGAGAGAAGAGAAATCAGGGAAAGCTTCCTAGAAAAAGTGATCTTTTAGCTGAGACTCAGGGTAAACAGAAATCAGTCTGATACAAGAAGGGAGAGATAAGGGGAGAGGAAGAGTGTTCAATATGATTGAAGGTCTAGAGGTATGAAAACACATGGCTTTTTAAAGTAATTGGAATCTGAAAGAAGTTTAATATTACTGGAGTATATATAATGGCAGGGGAATGGCCGAGGCTGAAGAGCTAAATAGGGGCAAGACAATGAAGTGTCTTATAAGCCTTGTAATTTAGACTATATCCTAAATGCAGTGGTAAACCACTGAAGGGTTTTAAACAGGTATGGAACATGATCAATCTGAACTTTAGAAAGATTATCCTGGTTTAATAAGAATAAAATAGAGAATTTT